>NC_000008.11:14708587-15011617 GCF_000001405.40 Homo sapiens
GAAAGGGCTCTCAGGAATCAAACAGAAAACTGGTTTTAACAATCAGTTTGAAAAAAATTGACACACCATGCAACATCGTAAATCCAAGTATTAACAAACATACTACTTTTTAAAAAGTATTTTAGCTTTTTATCATAATAGAAGAATATATGCGTTTTTTAATGGAACAAGATTCTATATGATATGGCTTCAGTAAGAACACACTTGGAATGATGTTTTATTCGAGTGTGTGTGTGTGTGTGTGTGTGTGTGTATTCAGCTTTATAATCCTATTACATTTTTTCACATGTAACATTCAAATTCTTGCTACTTGGGACCTTAAAACTGCTTACATGAGAATGTGTTAGACAAGTTTCTAAGAAAAGAAATTTGATACCCAGAATTTTGTTCATCTTGACCCAATTTATAAGTCCTTAATTGTGGCTAAACTCTATCATTCAGCAGATTCAAAGGCCAAATATTTCAACGAAATTATGGTTAACAGTGAAGAAGAATAAAAATTTGAATTCTATCCCTTTCTCCTTTTTTGTGCTCTTACCATAGAAGAAAAGTATTTTGTCATGATCTAAAAGCATCTTACTAAAAAGCATTGAGATGTATTACCAATCAGCAGCAGAGATTATCTGTTCACCAACTTGAACTCATCTAGCTTGTATCAAATTCTCAGATAACAAATTTGATCTTCGTCTTGATCTGCTGAATGTCTTGCGTGTGTAACTAATCCCTCCAACCCAGAGAAAGCTACATGCCCCACCTCATTACTTCAGCTTAAATAATACATTATAAATGAAATGCTTATTTTGTGTAATGTCACAACAAACATTTAATTTAGTCATTTACTGAAAGCTCAATTACTCTTACAGTATGAATGGAAGGAGGAAGAAGAGGAGGAACTAAAACCATCTCTTGGAGGAGATATCACCCTTCTCAATTGTGCAGAATTCAGTCAATAGGTTTGCTAATTCGCTTGTTACGGCATAAGCAGGAATGCAAAGTTAAAGCACTATTAAAATAAATTTTCACAGTGATTTTAAAAATTAAATTCAAAATAATACAGCAAATAATTTCATTAATCGAGGCCCAAATTTGCAAAATGAAAAAAAAAAGACAAACTATTTAAAACTAAATCTTCGTGAAGTCGAAATGGCAATGCTAGAACCATCCATTCTGGTACATTGCAAGAGGAGTATATGGGGCTATATTTAAATGTAACTAACATTTATTGATGCCTTACTATGTGAGGAATTTTACCATGAGTATCTGTTGCAATCTACACTACTTTTATGACACAGGGACTCTCCTTATTTTATAAATGAACAAGTAATTGTCTTAATATTATGTACCTGTTGAAGTCTGTACAGCAAAATAATAGAGAAACTAAGACTCAAACCAGGTGCTAAGCACATTAGTCACTCTAGAAGTCCATTAAGCTCCCTTCTGTCACAAGTCAGAGAGCAATTCTCAAACATGAAGAAATTTCTTAAGAATAAATTAATGGGCCAGGCGCGGTGGCTCACGCCTGTAATCCCAGCACTCTGGGAGGCCGAGGAGGGCAGATCACGAGGTCAGGAGATCGAGACCATCCTGGCTAACCTGTGAAACCCCGTCTCTACTAAAAAAAACAAAAAAAAAATTAGCAGGGCGTGGTGGCAGGCGCCTGTAGTCCCCACTACGCCGGAGGCTGAGGCAGGGGAATGGAGTGAACCCGGCAGGCAGAGCTTGCAGTGAGCGGAGATCGCGCCACTGCACTCCAGCCTGGGCGACAGAGCGAGACTCCGCATCAAAAAAAAAAAAAAAAAAAAAAGAATAAATTAATGGTTCTTATTTTCAAACTTGATCTAACAATTCAATGGAGCAATTAAAACTTATATTTTCAGAAGTTCTTCAAGTGATTCTGAGAAACCGATCCTTGGCCTATGATTAATAATTTAGAAATTCCAGTCTTTATAAAGTTTTTCACTGTCTACGTGAGTTAATAAATTATTTTGTTAGTATAATAATTATATACTCTGCCTTATTTGTGTATTTATTGTTTACGAAAAAATGTCTTTCAAATAAGAATATACAAATAAAATATTTTCAGGACACATAATTTGTATCAAAAAGAACTATTTTTAAAACACTTTAAAATAACCTACTTTTATAGAACCAAAAAAATACTAATTGTAACTAATTCTTACCTATTTTTAAGTGTAAAATAGTACTTGGAACAACAACATAAATCTTTTTAAAGCAATTTTTTGAAAAAAGTCATGCGGAATTTTCATTAATTCAGAGATGTTTTGTAAAACACACTCAAAACGAAGACCGAATACACAATGAAAATAAGTTAGTAAACTAAGAAATAGTCACAATAACTTTAGAAGAAAGCAAGTAAGAGGAAGGACAAAGATATCTTCACTAGCATTGTTTTCATAGGACGTATGACATATATACCCTTTTAATGACAATAAAAGATTAAATGTTCAAATTAATTAAGATGGAAAAGCTTATGCTTATTCATGAAGTCCACAATTACTTGTTAAGTATGCCTGACACAGCACTAGAAATAGAAGACATACTGAGCAAGTCACTATGGACTTAATGGATAAATGTTAAAACATTAAAAATTATGTACAAATGTAACACAATTTGTGAAAGTTATTTTTTCTTAAATTCAGTTCTCCATCTCAACTAATTTCAACACAAACTTTTATTCTCATTAATAATGTACATATGTTGGCCAGGCGCTGTGTCTCACACCTGTAATCCCTGCACTTTGGGAGGCTGAGGCTGGCAGATCCCTTGAGATCAGGAGTTCGAGACCAGCCTGGCCAACATGGTAAAATCTCCTCTCTACTAAAAATACAAAAAAAAAAAAAAAAAAAAGTTAGGCATGATGGCGCATGCCTGTAGTCCCAGCTACTGAGAAGGCTGACGCAGGAGAATTGCTTGAATCCAGGAGGCAGAGGTTGTAGTGAGCCAAGATTGCTCAACTGCATTCCAGCCCAGGAGACAGAGTGAGACTCTGTAAAAAAAAAAAAAAAAAAAAAAGCCTATATGCGTCCCTTGTACGGAAAAAAATGCTAGTGGAAAAGGATAGGAACATATGTAATAAGTCATATTTACCATGTAGCATTAGTGTTAATAGTCCTTTTTTGTGCTGACTTCATGTACTAAATCAAAAACTGCACATAGTAACACTAATCGCCTTTATCTGGTACGTTCTGATAGGAGATGGACAAAGAAACTAGACATTCATTGAAGACATTTCTGTTTGTTTGCTTGTTTGGTTTTTCGCTTAATTGAAAGCCAATATACTGAGGCAACTCCAGCCTCTCAGGTTCCTATGTAGGCAAACCAAAATCCAACTCAGTGCAAATCTTCACACCCTACAAAATCAAAACTAAAGCTTAACCAGGCCAGGCGTGGTGGCTCATGCCTGTAATCCCAGCACTTTTGGAGGCTGAGGTGGGTGGATCACCTGAGGTCAGGAGTTCAAGACCAGCCTGGCCAACATGGCGAATCCTCGTCTCTACTAAAAGAAAAACTAAAGCTTAGCCAATCAGAAACTTCCACAACTAACCCCTAACTAGAAACTTTAAGACTAGCATTTCACTTTAATTAAGTATTTTCATGATCTTGCTTTTGAGAATACCTTATAAAAGTATTCCCCCTCTCCCTCCTTCAGCTCCGTCCTGAAACCCTTGCAGGCTGGCGCTGCCTGGTTGATGAAATGCTGTCTACTCAAGTAAACTTCGCAGAATTGTAATTACTTTTAAAGACTGTATTCTTTCACTTAAACCTCATGGAAACCATTTTTACAGAGGCATCATTAGAATCACTTAGTTCATTCCCAAGATGTTTCTAAAGAGAGAAATCTGCAGTATGTGAGGTTATTCAGGACTGTCATTAGCCAGTAGGGCAGTTATGTAGTGAATTTTAAAAGTGCTTCATTTGGGGAAAAATATTAGCAAAGTAATTCTTTTGGGGGGAGACAAATGGTATCTCTGAGATGGAAGCAATTCCCTTATCACATGACTTGACAAGGGAAGCACCTCTTGGATTCCAGCCTCAACACACCCACTTAGCATGGGGGCCTTTGAGACAGTGCACGGCCATAAAACGGTCTAATGTAGCCTTGAGAATAGTTTTATTTTCCTGGTTATTTACTGCATTGCTAACTCAGACGCAACATCTCTTCCTGTAAACTCTAGTAACCCTGTTTAAATATGTCCTTATTTTTTCTTCTTTTTTAATGTGAATGAGTCACTGGGTTTTCTATTGTGTTGCCAATAGACCAGGTCACATTTTGGCAATTCCAAAATGTGACCTGGTTTTTAAACAATAAACCAATTAGGAGACTGAGCAGTAGGGCCAAGACACAAAACATGTTCTCCTCAAGACTAGGACATCCAGGTGACAAATGTAGTCATTTCCTAAACTACTGTGTAGGCCCCTAGTTGCTCATTTTTACTAAAAAGTAATTAACTAAGCACAATACAACAGTTCTAAGCCTATTAAAAAAGTTTCTTGGAAATTTAAATAAATTAGCTATGATTAGAACTAATGAAACCTCTAAGTGTACCAGGTTTAATTGCAAAAGTTGTTCAGATAACATGCATAGTAATTTGTAAAAGAAATCCGGAGGAAATTAAATGCATGTCCAAGCGTATCAAAGTTAGACAAATTAAAATTCAAAAACTTCAACATTGCAGAGTAACTTACATTTTCAGATATTTTCATCCATTGTTTAAAGTACAATGTTACAGTGTTACATAACTATCACTATTACTATAATTTGTCACCATTATTGTAATTTAAGGAGATGTCCCAGACAAAAGTAGAAGGGAAAAAAGTATAAAATCAGGAGGAGGGAAATAAATTATTGAGCTAGGACAATTCAAAATGTCAAAATACTAGGATAAAACTGACCAACTGACTCACACTTTACACGTGTTGCTAAATGCAAATGAGGGTTGAACTAATCTGCTAGGTTAGATTTTTGTTGTTGTGATTACGAAGAACTGTGATTAATGATATACTTTGGAAAATAGAATTGATCAGGAAATAAAACAAAAGAAGAAAACTCCAACCCTTAAAAACAGTAATAACCCCTGCCGCAAAAGAAAAAAAAAAAAGCTAAAGAAGGATAATACAGGTTATTTAGAAATTTCAGCCCATTGATTCAATATAATTATATTATTTATGTTAATTTGTTATTGTCACTAAGATTTTAAGTGTAATTTTTGGGAGTCCTTCAGGGAAAAATAAAACATCCCTGACTTATGATGATTTACCATAAGTTAAGCTAATCACCTTAACTTACGATATTTTTTAAACCTTTAAAATGACTTTATAGAGAGGTAACTCCATTTTAAGTCTAGAAGCATCTGTATGTTTGTTTTTGTTTTTGTTTTCAGATGGAGTCTCACTCTGTACCCAGGCTGGAGTGCAATGGTGCGATCTCAGCTCACTACAACCTCTGCCTCCTTGGTTGAAGCAATTCTTCTGCCTCAGCCTCCCGAGTACCTGGGATTACAGGTGCCCACCACCACGCCCAGCTAATTTTTTGTATCTTTAGTAGAGATGGGGTTTCACCATGTTGGCCAGGCTGGTTTCGAACTCCTGACCTCCTGATCTGCCCGTCTCGGCCTCCCAAAGTACTAAGATTACAGGCATGAGCCACCGTGTCCGACCCTGAAATTTTCTTTACCATATGCTGAAGCTTAATGAAACAAACTTTTAAAAGTTTATAGAAGTTAAAAAAAGTAACAGTATCATAGTACAACTCAAGCACAATATTGGTTTCAAGCTCATGATTACTTCAAGCCAATGATTTAATAACATGATTTATTCTCACACAACTTTAACTGGCATTTAAAAACTTACATGAATTTCCGAAAAGCTATATGGAATATTTTTTTTCAGTGAATAAAATGCCTTCTATCTAGAACACATTTTCTAAAACATTGTTCTATTAAACCACTCAATTTGTCTTAGCCAATAATAATGTCAAGTTTTCATGGCACACTTATCTTTGTTTTATAGTGTACCTCAGTCTGCAGATGATTAAAGAAAATTTAATGTAAAATATCCAAGAGAAAACTGATCAAAAGATAAATAAAACATAATCAGGAAAATAAATCCAGAAAAATACTAGAAAAAAATTAAAAATAAATAAGCAAGTGGTAAGCAGCTATATATTTAAGAACAATGGAATTTTTGTGCTTCTAGAAGGCAAAACAATCAGTTTTATAATCCTCAGAGTCAGATATTGGAAAACTTACCAGGGAATGCGGGGATGTTTTTTTCAGAGCTAAATTTTAAAATTAAATCAATGTGAGACTTTCTTTTAGAGAAGTGACAGACAGATAAGTTGCAAATTTCCTTATTGATATGATTTTTTCAAATGCAGTGGTTTAGCCTTCCAATGGTCTGGTTTTGCCTAAGGATAGCAGTTGAGAGCAGGATTTATTTTAAAAATATATATTCTTCAGTCAGTTTTCAAAAACAAAACAAAAAGGGAAAAGAACACTTGTCTACGATGCATATTCATGGAAATCTGGAAAATAAGTAGTTTGACCTTAAAAGGTCTCAAAAGGTTAGTTTGAGCTTTTGGTTGAGAGTGAATACCTAACAATGGAAATCAAATCATCATAAAATATTTGATCCATCTCAAGAGGTTCAGAAATACCTCCTCCTAATAGAGTATGCCAAAAAAATTGGGGAGGAAAAAACTGAACATATTAACTCTTCATTTAATGCACAGATAAGCTGATGAAAGGGTAAAACCTACAGGCCATAAAGAACAAAAAAGAGCTGGCCTAAGCGAAGACTGTGGTATGTAAATTCACAAAGGTATCTGCCCACCTATCTATGGCATAAAGGTTGCATGTACCATAACTTCAACCTGTAACAAAAAACTAGAGCCCAAGTATGGGTAAAATTACACAGATATCCTCCACCACACACACACACACACACACACACAAACATGCACACATAAAAACAGGATTCTGTAGAAGACCATGGCCAATGGCAGGCACATGACAAAATACGAAAATTATGTCTGATAATTCCTAAGGAAAAGCCTACTACACTTTAATAACTTAAAAAAGCTCTAGGCAGAAAATTTAGATTAACGTCAACCTGTTTTGTCAGTACCAATAGAGATCTGTCAGAAGTAAATATAAATCCATCCTGCAAGTTTATACTTAAAATTGCCTCAAAGAATTCTCATAGAAAAATTCCAATTTAGAGGAGCTTACAAATTTAAAAACCCCAAAACACATCAGGAAACAAGTTATCATCAGTAGGAGCTGGCATGAACACAACAATTTGGTAGAAATAAAGATATCAGTATATACTGGTAAGATAATCCACTCACTAGAAAGAAAAACAATTCTAAAATTTATGGCACTAGTAACATAGCTTCAAAAGCCAAATTAATAAAATTATAGGAGAAAGTCACTAATCTTAGAAATGCTTCGGAAAATACCAGATAGCAAAACTTAAACAAGGCCGATAAAGTGGAACCTAGAAATTAATTACCTTCTTACCTTAGAAAAGAGAAAAGAATGACATAATTGAGCCGAGTATCCAAATTTAGAACTTAATAAAAATACAACAGAATAAGTGTCATAGTGAAAACAAAAAAAAGATACACTTAAAAACAGAGATTAATGTAGAAAACAATGTTAGACTAGAAGAGAAAAATAGGAGCCCATGATTTATTTCTTGAACAATGAGAGCAAAATCATAAACTTCAAAATTTTTCCATGCGCACACACACACTTAAAACTGTAAAATGTTATGTTTAAAGTGATATTACATAGCATATTGATTATTAATCTATACAGATATACATCTCCCAAAACTGAATGCACACTTACTGTTATTTTGGGGGACCTGCAAAACCGAGTTTTGTTTAGAAGACACTGGAATCATAATTTGAATAAAGTCGTATTATTTATATGACATAGAAAACTAAAACATTAATTTCTTTTGAGTTTTCTTACACTCTAAATCCAAAATTCTATTTGTCTGTAATAGAAAAATTAAAACCAAACCCATCTTAGGTTTCTTGCTGCACACATTTTTGCAACTCATCTTTAGGAAAACGTACAGATAACACAAGTTTCTAAATGCATAGTTCATTGAAAATAACAAAGCATTGTATTTTTGATATTTTACCTTTTATTTCATTTACCTTGTGGCACCAAATGGGAAGCATGGTGCATTTTATGATAATTCCACTTTGTAATACTCCTATATTTATAGCCCATGCTATATAAACTTTCTATAAAGCCTACTTCCTCTAATGCTACATGAGTTTCAAAATATCCATCTAATACAATGCAATTATATTTCATCTTATTAATAATACATGAGATGATTTCATCACTCATGGGATGATAAGGGACAAAAAAGCATGAAAGGTATGTAGTAAAATCCACTGAGAAACTACATTTTTGAATAATGCTCGAACAATTCCTTTTTTATGAATTTCATGATTTATAAAGTTGCCATTGAAATTCAATAGTGTAAAAAAGGAACTACGACAATTAGATTACTCAATATTATTTTGTATCATTTAGAAAAATTTTTCTAGATAAATAACAAAGCTTAGTATGAAACATTCAATACCATCAATAATTATTTTATATTTGTTAATATTTAAGCAAATGATTATAGAGTGAAAACAACTTGTAGGGAATACATGCTTTCTTTCCTGTGTTAAGGTACAATACCAGGAAGCCATAAGTAAAATATATGTTTCCTTTACTTTCTGAAACTTACTATAAATCACTTACAGTAATATGCTTAAAATCAACATTAAAATATAGACAATTTCTACTTTTCGAAGAAAGGCAGCACCACAAAATCTTTTTGCATCACAAAGAATTGAAGAAGAACAGTCTGGAAGGTACTGGTAAGAGTGACTCAAGGAGAGGAGAGTTCTGTCCATTCTCTCTAGTGATGAGAAAGTCGTCTTGGGGACAGCTTCATGGGTATGCAAACTGTACGGAGCATAAAGCCATATGCTCAGAAAGACTATGCTTCATTTAATGTTTTGCTGTGGTAGTCATTACATTCTTAATAATTTTTGAAAATAGGGCCTTGTATTTTCATTCTGCACTGGGCCTCACAAATGATACAGCCATTCTTAGCTGGCACTTGAATTCTAATCACAATTCTTCTACAACTGTGTGTGAAAAAGGGATAACTTACATTATTTGGTTTCTTATTTAAAAATCACCTAAATCCACTCTAGTAACTTCCTAAATTCTCCTATAACTGTGATTTTCCAAGGTTATTTTGTGGACATAAAATCTGCATCAGATTTATTTCATCCCTCTATGTTAATCATATGACTCTTTTATCAACTTGCTAGTAGAACCTGGATAAATGTAAATTCTAAAATAAGATATATATATATATGTAATATGGCTCTTAGCATTTAAAAACTGACTCAAATAGTTTTCCTATTTTTCTTATCTTTGAAAATCACTTTATAGAAATGAATAACTGTGACTCTCTAAGCTAAATGTTATACTTTTTTTATATTATTGAAATACACATATGCATGCACACACACACACACAAACACACATACAAACAAAAACTGTGGTGTTTTTAAAAGATGGTTTTTCTTTTGAAAGTGAATTTTTTAATGTTTTAATTTTTCGTCAGGTAATTTTTACAGCATTCAGGAGACAGCTGCTATAAGGATTTCTTAGGAACTAAATTATAGCCTGAAACAAAAATTATTATGCTCAGGAAAAGTAGACAGAAAGCAAAATGTCACTAAAAAAAAGAGAGAAACCAATATTATCTATATACGACTAATCATGTGATGCTCTTTTTAAAGGATCCCCACAAGAATAAAGGAATATCAACTAAGTAAACGTCCCAAATCAATGATAACTATAAAGAAGAGTCTTATAAATTAAATATTGAAATCCTCAACTAATGGCTGTGGACGCAAACCCAGGAGATTTTAGTAAACTATACATAGCCTATACATATACAATTTAACAATGCTTAGAACTTTAGGAAATTATATAAGTTCACAGGAGTATGCTATAATAAAAAAACTGTCCTACTGAAGATAAATTCAAATGACAGTGTTGATGATCTTTAATGCCACCCTGATCCATATTATCCTAAGATTTTATTAATGAAGCAATGGAGAAGAAAGAAATGAACAGTTTAGAAATCCCTTCTTCTTACTTCCACTCTTTGTCTTTTTTCTTTTTTTTTGTTTAAGAATATATATATATATTTTTATTATTATTATTATACTTTGTTTTAGGGCACATGTGCACCATGTGCAGGTTAGTTACACATGTATACATGTGCCATGCTGCTGTGCTGCACCCATTAACTCGTCATTTAGCATTAGGTATATCTTCCAAAGCTATCCCTCCCCCCTCCCCCCACCCCACAACAGTCCCCAGAGTGTGATGTTCCCCTTTCTGTGTCCGTGTGTTCTCATTGTTCAACTCCCACCTATGAGTGAGAATATGCGGTGTTTGGTTTTTTGTTCTTGCTATAGTTTACTGAGAATGATGATTTCCAGTTTCATCCATGTCCCTACAAAGGACATGAACTCATCATTTTTTATGGCTGCATAGTATTCCATGGTGTATATGTGCCACATTTTCTTAATCCAGTCTATCATGGTTGGACATTTGGCTTGGTTCCAAGTCTTTGCTATTGTGAATAGTGCCACAATAAACATACGTGTGCATGTGTCTTTATAGCAGCATGATTTATAGTCCTTTGGGTATATACCCAGTAATGGGATGGCTGGGTCAAATGGTATTTCTAGTTCTAGATCCCTGAGGAATCGCCACACTGACTTCCACAATGGTTGAACTAGTTTACAGTCCCACCAATAGTGTAAAAGTGTTCCTATTTCTCCACATCCTCTCCAGCACCTGTTGTTTCCTGACTTTTTAATGATTGTCATTCTAACTGGTGTGAGATGGTATCTCATTGTGGTTTTGATTTGCATTTCCCTGATGGCCAGAGATGGTGAGCATTTTTTCATGTGTTTTTTGACTGCATAAATGTCTTCTTTTGAGAAGTGTCTGTTCATGTCCTTTGCCCACTTTTTGATGGGGTTGTTTGTTTTTTTCTTGTAAATTTGTTTGAGTTCATTGTAGATTCTAGATATTAGCCCTTTGTCAGATGAGTAGGTTGCTAAAATTTTCTCCCATTTTGTAGGTTGCCTGTTCACTCTGATGGTAGTTTCTTTTGCTGTGCAGAAGCTCTTGAGTTTAATGAGATCCCATTTGTCAATTTTGGCTTTTGTTGCCATTGCTTTTGGTGTTTTAGACATGAAGTCCTTGTCCATGCCTATGTCCTGAATGGTAACGCCTAGGTTTTCTTCTAGGGTTTTTAAGGTTTTAGGTCTAAAGTTTACGTCTTTAATCCATCTTGAATTAATTTTTGTAGAAGGTGTAAGGAAGGGATCCAGTTTCAGCTTTCTACATATGGCTAGCCAGTTTTCCCAGCAAGTTCTTTGTCTTTTTTCTGACTTATATTTTTTTCTTTTCAGACTATCTGATCTTGGCCACAAATACATATCTTCAAAAAAATACCTACTTGATCAATAAATATTTTATACTACTTACATGCTTAAAATAAAAGGTGATCACAAGAAATACAGAAAAAATGAACGATGCCCACTGAAAAATTCACAGTTTGCTTCTCCTTTTCTAACTTGATAAAACTTATAAGTAAATTCTTAAGTAGCTATCACTAACTGTAAATGATTTTTAAAAACAATAATGATAGATATAACAATAAAGAGAATAACTACTGTAAACAAATTTTTCTAAATAAAACAGTTGAATGCAAATATAGTAGTATTGCCAATATTGCCATTATTAAACAAAACACTTTACAAAACCTGTTACAGCTCATCATTAACCTAAGGTTCCACTGGATTTCCTAGGTTCACTCTGTATCAGTGGTCATCTGAGTTATTCTTATCCTTATGCAGTGAAGGCAAACTCTGGCTCACAAGTAAAATCTGGCCCTCTGCCTGTTTCATAAGTAAGTTTTATCACAACCCAGCCACATTCATTTAAATATTGTCTACTTCTGCTTCCTCAGAGATGAGTGGCTGAGTTGAGTAGTTGCAACATAGACCACGTAAACTACCAAGACTGAAATATTTACTAACCAGCCATTTAAAAAGGAAATTTGCTGCCTACTGCTTTATAGCCAAACATCTTGAAAGGAATGTTTACATATTATGTACCAATATTTCTTCTACTGTTTTGTAAATCCATTCCAATCAGGTTTTTTCCCCAATACTTCATGGAAACTGTTTTTTTTTTAATTTTTTTTATGATTATAAATGACCCCAAATTGCTAAAGGCAAAGGCCAATAAGTTCTTAACTTACTGACCTGTATCAGCAGCATTTAACATAGCAGACCATTTTCTCCTTAATGCAATTTTTCACTTGCTTTCCAGGGTGCCACTCTTGGATTTCTTTGCACTTCTGGGACTGTTTCTCTTTAATTATATTTTCTAGTTGCCTTTGTTTCCCTAATTTCAGAATTTCTGAGTACTCGAAAGTTCAGTCCCTGAACCTCTTCTTTGTTACTAACACTCATTTATTTGGTGATTGCATCTAGTTCCATGGTTTTAAATATTATCTATAAACTGAAAAGCCATGCATTTTGTATCTCCATCTCATCTTTCCTTAGAACCAGAGATTTATGTATCCAGCTGCCTCATGGACATTTTCACTTGAATGTCTAATAAAGAGCTCAATCTAGATATCCAAAAGAGAATACCTGATTCGTGCTTTTATCTGAAAACCTGATCCTTCTGTCATCTTCTACCATGCCAGTAAAGGCAACTTTGTCCTTCCAGTTGCTTAGGCCAGTATTGAAAGCATCAGCCTTAACTGCACTCCTCATATTTCACATCGGCCCATCAATAAATCCCACTGGCCTTTAAAGTATACACAGAATCCGTCTACTTCTCACCACCTCTACCACTCACAGCCTGGTCTAAGGCACCACCAATTCTCACTTGGATTATTATGATGGTTTTATAATTTGTCACCCTATTTCTGTCCTTTTCCTATTTCAGCAACTTTCTAACAAAGCAATCACAGTAATGTCATAACTCACATCTCATTTAAATCTTCTGTTCAAAACTCTACATTTTACTAAAAGTAAGATGGAGATTTTAACTGCAGCCAAAACAAACAAAAACCCTGTAAGCACTGGCCATTCATTAACTATCTGATCTTAACTCCTACTCTCTCTGTGCACAACCAGCACCAACCACACTGTCCTCTATGTCCTGTTCCTTGGAAATTTCAGTCATTCTCACACCTTAGGAGTATTTTTCTCACTGGCCCTTCTGCCTAAATACCCTCTCTCAGGTGTTTCTATGATTCTCCCCATCATTTCATTGTGATCTTCTTTTGAATGTCATCTTCTCAGTAGTGTTCCCTGGTCAAACTATCTCAAAATCTCAACTCTGTTTGTCTTGCTTTCTCCTTTTCCTTTTCCCTCTTCTACTTTTTCTGCTCAGAACTAGTAGTATAAAATGCATTTCATTTTTCTATTTTATTATTTCTCTCTACCTCTAGAATTAAACCACATGAGGGCATATATTTATGTTTATTTAGTTAACCAATATTAAATCTAGCATCTATAACATAATTTGCTATGTAGGAGAGAAACAGTATTTCTTGAAAGAATGAAAGTATTGTCTTCGGTAGGAACACTAAGCAATAATTTTCAAAAGCATGTATTCCTCTAATAATAATTGATTTTATATCTTCCATATTTTCTCAGAAATTGAATAAAATTTTAAAAATGTGGATTTATTAAGGAATACTTTATTATTATAATAAAACAAAATATTGCAGGAATTTTCTTAATATGTTGACATACTTTTATGTATGTATTTATGCACACAATATATGTATTTATATACATATATATTTATTACTTTCCTCACTGAAATGGGAGAAAAAGGAAAACACAAGAAATGAGAAGGGAAAAGCAATATGAAAAAGCAAGACAAAGTGAGAGAGAGTTGAAATTTTACACAGGTTGACTAGGGAAGACTACTGAGATGATAACATTCAAGAAAATATCAGAAGGAAATGATGAGGAGAATCAAGGAAACATATGAGGGAAAACCTTCTAGGCAGAGGGAGGGGCAAGCAAAATGTCCTGTGTATGTATATGCATACATGTGCATGTGTTTTTATGTATATTTATATAAGTATGTACACAGGGATTTATGTGTGTAAAGTCGGAAATAAAATGCGTTCCATTTCAACAACAGTAAACAAAGAAAAAACTAGAATTTAATCTCCGAAAAAATCTAAATTACCAATTCAATAGAATGCAGGGCCAGAATTCAAATTCAAGTCACGCAGATTCTAATTTCAAGCTCCTCATTTTTATTCCATTGTTTGTTTCTATTGTTTATGTCCATTTTGCTAGGCAGGTTCAAAAGAAATGCACAAATATTAAGTCAAAAATAAGATCACGGGATCCTTTTCAAGATGGCCGACCAGACGCACCAGGGAAGTGCCACTCCCATGGAAAGAAACAGGGATTTTGACTAAGTCAGCATAATTGGAGCAGATCTTCAGAGAGAAAATGCAGAATGTGAATGGAGAAAGATGCAAATATTGAACCTGAAGAAAAAGAAAGCTGAGAACCCTGTGTAGGATGCCTGAACACCAGGGCTTGTTCCTGGCCCTGAAAAGCTCTTGGGGAAGAGGTGAGTGGGACTGGGGCACTGCCCACTCTTGCTGTGGACCTATGGGATCCTAGCTGCAGAGGACCCTCACATGTCCCACAGATATTTGAGCTGGCAGGGGTACCTTTCTGGAGAACAGAGGGAGAGGAGGCCTTAGCAGGCGTGGAGCTGGGGACCTTTGTGCACAGGACAGCTCCACGGAGCCTGGCCATAGGTGCCCATCCCTCAGGGCACCCCTCTCCCATTGAGAGGCTCTGACCCCAGCTGACATTCATTTTCTTCAAACATGTAAAATGATTTAGGATAGGAAACAAGCATAGAACACATGAAATTTATATATTTATCTATATATATATATGTCTGTGTCTATGCATATATATGCATACATATGTCTATATAGTGCATCTATGTGTATATTATACATGTTTATATACATTTATATGAGTTTTATGTTATCTACGTATTA
Source organism: Homo sapiens (assembly GCF_000001405.40). Taxonomy (NCBI): domain Eukaryota; kingdom Metazoa; phylum Chordata; class Mammalia; order Primates; family Hominidae; genus Homo; species Homo sapiens. The sequence goes on from NC_000008.11 coordinate 14,723,792, forward strand.
CATACTATATGTATATAATATATACTTTTCTAATTGCAGCAAACATTGTTCAGGTAAAAGGCTCTCCAAACATTCTATAAATAGAGTGGTAGTGGTTCCTTCCACCTTCATTGCCTTTATAGCAACACACAGGTCATTGAAGCATAATATGATAATGATGAGTTCTGACCACATTAATGGACTAATTCTTAAGCAGAAGGAATAGCCTACTGCAATGAATATTTTATTCACACTCTTGGTGTTAAAGAACAATTGCTTAAAGTCAATGAAATCTCAAAATAACTATATATCAAGTAAATTATGATGTAAAACTAGTGTATGAGAAAAATGTGTCTTATCTTTAGTAATCATTCCAAGTCTAAATGTGTGGAGAACAAAGGCTTTCCAGTATTTGACCCTGAATGTTGTGTTCTGCTGTACTATTTAGAGGCAAGGGACTGGAAACAATGCTAAAGAGAAAGCAAGGTGGAAATACATGTATATGTACACATATATGTGTACATACATAAGTGTATATATGTGTATATATATATGTGTTCTAATTATTTTTTTCCTATTTCTATTGTGAAGTCTTTTAAGTATAAAAATTCAGAGAGAATAACATGATAGCCTCTACTGAGCTTTCATGGTATACTGCAAAATCTTAATTAAACTATTGTATTATTATATTAACTTCAAATATTTTTAATAAAATGAAGCATAAAATAGACATGAAATTCATATTTTGCACCTCATAAAAGCTTATTTTTCTTCTATATCTGAGAGACAATCACTATATTGAAATTCATTTGTATTATTCAGTTTGATATTAATATAAATAATCAGAGTGAATATAAAATAAGACCAAGCGTTTCTCTTTCACCTACAGATTATAAATAAAAGAGTTATCACTAAGTGATATATATATATGCATATTTATTTTTATGAATACATAATAGTTGTATATATTTATGGGATACATTTGCATTTTAATATAAGCATATAATGTTTAATGATTAAATTAGGGTAAGTGGAATGTCTACCACCTTAAACATTTATGATTTCTTTGTGTCAGAAACATTTCAGTTTCACTCTTCTATTTATGTTGAAGCATGCAATAAATTATTGTCAACCATAGTCGCCCTATAGTGCTACTTAATACTAGATCTTATTCCTTGTAACTGTACTTTTGTACCATTAACCCCCACCAACACCACTTTATCCCATCTCCCCACTACATTTCCCAGCCTCTAGTGGCCATCATTCTACTCTCTATCTCCATGAGGTCAACTTTTTTAGCTCCCACATATGAGTGAGAACACACAGTATTTGTCTTTCTGTGCTTGGCTTATTTCACTTAACATAATGCTGTCCAATTCCATCCATGGTGTTGCAAATGACAGAATTTCATTTTTCATGGCTGAATAATATTCCATTGTGTATATAGACCACCTTTACTCATTCCTCTGTTGATAGACACTTAATTCCCTACTTTGTCTACTGTGTAGAATGTTGCAATAAACATGGGAATGCAGCTATCTCTTTGATATATTTATTTTCTTTCTTTGGATATATACCAAGGAGTGAAATTGCTGGATCATATGGTTGTTATAATCCTAGTTTTTTGAGGAACCGTTTTCCTTATGACTATACTAATTTACATTCCCACCAACAGTGTACAAGTGATTCCCTTTCTCTGCATCCTCGGTAGCATCTGTTATTTTTTGTCTTTTTCATAAAACGATTTTAAATGGGGTGGAATCTACAAAAAATAATCAGAAGCAAGAAGAATGAGAATAAAAATAATGAGAAGCAAGGGGCACACAAATTGATAACAATGTGAAGGCAAATTTAATGAACATTTTTTAAAAATCACTATTACTAACACCTACTTCTGTATTAAATGAAAAGTGAACTTAATTTTGGACAACGATATCAAGGGAAATAGAGAAGGAGTGTTTTCTGAGTAGTTACTGAAAGCATGAACAACTCACAGAACACCCCATGTACTAATTAAAAAGAAGATTGAAATATACAAAAGATTTAGACTTTATTAGAATAATGTGTGGTTATGAAATTACTTAAAGATGGAAAGGCGATTACTAAAAAAGTAGATATGTTACAATACCTTAAACTCAGCAAAAATATATAGAAATATAAAAATTTGCTTTTTTTTCACTTATTAAAGTAAAATATTATTAGGTAAAATTTTATGGCCAGGCTCACGCCTGTAATCCCAGCACTTTGGGAGACCAAGGTGGGCAAATCATGAGGTCAGGAGATCGAGACCATCCTGGCTAACACTGTGAAACCCTGTCTCTACTAAAGACACAAAAAATTTAGCCAGGCGTGGTGGCACGCACCTGTAGTCCCAGCTACTCGGGAGGCTGAGGCAGGAGAATCACTTGAACCTGGGAGGGAGGCAGAGGTTGCAGTGAGCAGAGATTGTGCCACTGCATTCCAGCCTGGGCAAAAGAGTGAGACTCTGTCTCAAAAAAAAAAAAAAATCATACGCGTGTGTGTGTGTATATGTGTAAATACATATATATATATCTATATATATATATATATAAAATTAGATAGGATTTTAAAATTTCAGTTACATGACAGACAAATTATTTAAAAGTTACACAGGAAGATTAAAAATAAAAGAGTAGAAAAATGTCATATACTTTATGTAAGTCATTTAACAAAAGCTGTTTATATATATTTCAAAAAACAACATTTTAGATGGAAAATGCTATTATGATAGAGGCACAGTATTGGTTGACCAGGAAAATATAGCAATTATGTGTTTCCCCTGGCCACAAACTCAACCAATAAAAATAAATTTAAAATTCACAATTTTGAGAAATTATTAATAACTATGTATCAGAAATTGGGAGTATAAATACAGAATAGATTAATAAATGTATAAACAACTTGAAAAGTGACACAATTAGCAAACTTGAATGAACATACAAACCTGCAACAATATGATGTTTTGCATAAGGTAAGTTAATTCAGATATAAACAATAAAAAGATGGTTAATAAAGCAAATATTTACAATCTGCCAAATACTGTCTGTCACCTGATGAAAAGAGGAAAAACTAGTATCTAGTATAAATATTATTCAACAAATAGCAAAGAAAGTATTAAGGTAAAAAACTTATGAGCTTCACGAATCATGAAGGCAAATTCTGATTAATTGAACTTTATCAAAATTAAAATGTGTTGTTCATCAAAAGACACCACTGAGATGTTAAATATTCAATCCACAGTCTGCGAGGAAATATTTTCAATAAGCTTATCCGGCAAAAGACATTTAAAAAGAACGTATAAAGAGCACATACAAGTAAATACCAAGAGAAAAACAAATCAAATAATATAAGTAAATTTATAATAATGAAAATACCTGAACAAACACTTCACCAAAGAAGACATATAAATAGTCAATAATCTCAGGAAAAGAATGCTCAACATCTTTACTCAACAGGATTATAAAAATGAAAGCCACAGTAAGATTCTATTTGAATACTGTTTAGAGGAGCTTTAGAAGTTTAGACAGTTTCACCGTACCAACTACTAAAGAAGATGTGTAAAAAATGAAAATACTATTCATTGCTGCTGGGAAATTGAATGGAAAAAGTACTTTGGAAAACTGCTTGGCAATATCTTATGAAATTTAATATAAATCTATCTTATGACCCAACACTTTCACTCTTAGGTATTTCACAAGAGAAATGAAAGCATGTACAATAATGCTTTTTTTTTTTTTGAGGTGGAGTCTCACTCTGTTGCCCAGGCTAGAGTGCAGTGGCCAGATCTGAGCTCACCACAAGCTCCGCCTCCCGGATTCACGCCATTCTCCTGCCTGAGCCTCCCGAGTAGCTGGGACTACAGGCGCCCTCCACCACGCCCGGCTAATTTTTGTTGTATTTTTAGTGGAGACGGGGTTGCACCGTGTCAGCCAGGATGGTCTCGATCTCCTGACCTCGTGATCCACCCGCCTCGGCCTCCCAAAGTGCTGGGCGTGAGCCACCGCGCCCAGCCAATAATGTTCTTTTTAGCTTCATAATCGTCAAAAACTGAAAGAAATTCATATGTCCATCAACAGAGGAATAAGTTATTTGTGTTATACACATAATGAAATATTACTAAGCAATTAAAATGAGTAAACTATAGACACATGCAGCAGCATAAGTGCACAGTAAAAAATACTCTGAAACAAAAGAAGCTAGACACAAAAGATTACCTACTTGATGCGTCCATTTATATGAATTCGAAGACTAGGCAAAATGTATCTACGGTGATAAAAATCAGAAAGTTGTTACTTCTGATTGGTGTCCAGAAAGAAGCAAGATGGAACTTTCTGGGGTGATAAATATGTTCGAAACTTTGTATGTGTAGGTATGTGCAATGTCAAAATGCATCGAAGCAAACACTTGAAGTCTGTGTTTTTTAATTTGTGATAATTTTCTCTAAAAATAAATTAACAGGACTTAATTGTTGAAAAAGCAGAAAATGTATAACCTTAATACATTTATTTAAAGGAAGAAAGAAAACTAAAGCTTTAAGCATTCATCTCAAAATAGAAAAAAAAAAAAGTAGAACCAAAAGAGTGGAAAGAAAAAAAAAACATAATAAAGACAAAAGCCAAAATTAATGCAGTAAAAAGCAAACAAAAATATCTTTGACAATGATCGTCAAATAAACAAATAATTTGAAAAGACTTATTAACCATGGAAAAAGACACGAAAATGAATTATGAATAGTAAAATAATGGAGATTTTAGTAAACATTTGATATATGAGAAAAATAAATGATTTTTACCCCATAAACATTAAAATTCTGATAAGGAGAAATTTCTAGAAAAATGTGTGATGAAAATTGACACAAAAAATAGAAAAATCATTTATTTATGTCTCAATCAGTATAGAAAATCATTAGATCAAATTTAGCAATATGATATTCCATGCCTTATCTGAAAGAGCTTCTCAAAAGTGACAACAGGCTCTAAGAAATTAAATGGTCACTAGGGGACACAATGAAACAAAGTTGAATGCGTGTGGTGAGTAGCAAATACATCCCAAGTTCTAAAGCAACAGAGCATGCTTCAACTTGAGTGATGATCAGTTTTAGAAGTAATTTTATAGGAAGCATTTGAATGTTAAACATTATCATGTAAATCTGCCTATGTTCCTTTCATGCGAAGTCAATGCCCCTGAGTAACCTTGTTTAGTGACCTAGTTTTAAAATTACTCTTTGTAATGTGGTCACTAGGAATTAAGCCTTCAAGGAAGGAATCCAGTATTTAAAATTCATATTACCATGTGACAAATTGATCTCCCTTAAGAAACCCATTCTATCAAAATGTAAACTAATATGTCGAGCTGCTTGAATACCCACACCACTAAAGTCACACCTTTCTTCCAAGGTGTTATTTCTAATTTGATTTCCCCAATGCATGAAGTAACCATGCCCAGTCACGACAACGCTTAATGACTGCCCACCAAAGCCTTGGCTGATCCACACCTATGGACCACATGAATGAACCTTTCAGTGTTTATTCTTCAAACTTGTATCATGCTATTGCGGACTGAAGTGAGTACCCCCAAAATTCATACATTGAAACCCTAAACTTCAATAAGACTGTTTTTGAAGACAGGACCTTTTAAAGAGGTAATTAAGGTTAAATTAATTTGTAAAGGTGAGGACTTATTTCAACACGACTGGTGTCTTTAAATAAAGAGGAAGAGACATCAGGGATGAATGTGCAGAGAATAGGCCATGTGAGGACACAGTGAGAATACAGCCACCTACTAGTCAGTAGAGATGTCTCACCAACCTTGCTGGCACCTTGATCTTGCACTTACAGCATCCAGAGCGTTAAAAATCAATCAATCAATCAATCAATCAATCAATCAATCTGTTGTTTAAGTAACCTAGTCTCTAGAAATTTATTATGGCAGCACTTGAAAACTGATACATATTTATCTGCAAAACAGTGCTACAAAACCTACCATTCTGGTTAAAATATAGTGCCTTTTAAGGGAAGGCATGGTGGCTCACACCTGTAATCCTGGCAGTTTAGGAGGACGAGGCAGGCAGACCAATTGAGGTCAGGATTTCAGGACCAGCCTGGCCAACATGGTGAAACCCCATCTCTACTAAAAATACAGAAATTAGCCGGGCATGGTAGGACAGTCCTCTAATCCCACCTACTGGGTAGGCTACGGCAGGAGAATTGCTTGAACCCAGTGGGGCGGAGATTGCAGTGAGCCGAGATCGTGCCAGGGCACTAGAGCCTGGGTGACAGACTGAGACAGCGTCTCAAAAAACAAGCAAACAAAAAAACCATAGTAACTTTTCAGACAAGTTTAGACCCTTGGCCATCATCTCATCAAGAGAATCTTGTCTGCTCTCATCAGTGGGTGAGAAGTTTTCTGGAGTGCCGCACGAAGCTTTATGGTACAACTGGCACATTCTTTATCTGTTTAATATATTATTGCTTATTCATTTGAGAAAAAATATAGATATAGAGAAAAATAAACAGAACATTTATGGTGATATTATCACCATACATACATTTGTATGTATACTGGGGTGGAGTGAGGAGACGGGATATATAAGGATAAGCAAAAATCAGTAAAATCGATTAGAATACTAAAGTGCAACCTGCTCTTGTATGTTCTATTTTTTTTTCTTATCCTGAAGTGTGTGCTTTGACAATACCTCAAGCCCTAGCTTGTTATATTACAATACGTGACAATGAACTCAGAAGAAGGGAATCAGAAACAACATACAACCCTAAAAGAATCCTAAGTATTTAATATTTGATCTGCTAACATCAGGTTCTGCTTGAAGTGAGAGCACATGGATGTTCGGAACTGAAAACTGTCACTATGACTCTTTTTCCAGATCTTTATTATGTCACCGGGGACTGGGGCCAACATGTTCACCAAGGCACCTCCATTCCCTAGGACTTGTGCCTATCTCAACAAATCTATGTTAAATTGGAATGAAACTGATGTTAAAAACAATTAATAATTACATTTTGCAATGAACAAAATGAGAAAGAATGCTGTAGCATCTCACACCAGTTAGAATGGCGATCAATAAAAAGTCAGGGAACAAGATGCTGGACAGGATGTGGAGAAAGAGGAACAATTTTACGCTGTTGGCAGGAGTGTAAATTAGTTCAACCATTGTGGAAGACAGTGTGGCTATTCCTCAAGAATCTAGAACCAGAAATACCATTTGACCCAGCAACCCCATTACTAGGTATATACCCAAAGGATGATAAATAATTCTACCATAAACACACATGCACAAGTATGTTTATTGTGGCACTGTTCATAATAGCAAAAACATGGAACTAACCCAAATGCCCATCAATGACAGACTGGATAAAGAAAATGTGGCACATATACACCATGGAATATTATGCAGCCATAAAAAAGGATGAGTTCATGTCCTTTGCAGGGACATGGATGAAGCTGGAAACCATCATTCTCAGCAAACTAACACAGGAACAGAAAACCAAACACCACATGTTCCCACTCATAAGTGGGAGTTGAACAATGAGAACATGTGGACACAGGGAGGGGAACATCACACACTGGGGTCTGTCAGGGGGTGGGGGGATAGGGGAGGGAGAGTATTAGGAGAAATACCTGATGTAGATGATGGGTTGATAGGTGCAGCAAACCACCATGGCACGTGTATACCTAGGTAACAAACCTGCACGTACTGCACATGTATCCTACAACTTAAAGTATAATAAAAATAATTTTTAAAAAAAGAATGCGTGCCTGTTTAATTCAACAATACTTGTAGAAATGTAATTTCAGTAATCATGTTTTACCACATTTTCTTCTCCCTTGCTCTGTGTGTATGCCTCCTCCTACCTTTTCTTCTCCAGCATTCCATTTCATTGTACATATGACACATTTTGTAAAGATTACATATTTTAATTTTTGTTCATTTCTGGGTCAATCTGTTATTAAATTCTACTTCCCACCAAATCTCTAAGACCATTTCTTTTTCTAAAATGGTTACTCAATCTGAGTACCACTTTTTCTACAATTTTCCTTTCCATGGGATGGTCTCCTTAAGCTCCCCACTCAAAACACCTAGCAGATCTCTGACCTATTATCATGTTAATAACCTTACATATCTATCACAAGACTCTTCCAGTCGATACCATTAATGTGAAATATGACACTAATGGAGTATTAAAGGAAACCAGGAGTTAAAAGGAATCTCAATCCTAACCGTGATTCAAGTACAACTTGTTGAGCTTTCTCTTTAGAAATAATATTGCTTCTGAAGTTAGCCTTAATGCTGGAAAAAACACTCTATTCTTTGATTATTTAAGTGATAACAGGATCTAGGTCCTTTTTTATTGCCTTCTCACTCTCTATAACTCTCTTCTAACAGCTTTAAAACACATTCCTTATAACTCTCTTCCACCAGCTTTAAAACACATCCCTGCCTGCAGCTCTTATCTTATCCTTTCAAGGAATGACAGGATACCATCCACCCTGCTAAGGAGGGGTAATATCTGGGTGTGGACTCTCTGACCCCAGAGGCCTCCTCACTTCCAACTCTTTCGTTTCCACTCATTCTTCTCTCGGCACAGAAGCTAAGAAAGAAAATAAATGAATCAAAACAGATGACTGGTTCTGTATAAAAGAGAGTGGTGGGGAAAATTATTCAAAATGACCTCAAGTTCTCTAAGCCCTCTGCATGTTAGGAAGCTGGAAAGCCCAGTCCCACCTGCAGCTGTCAGGAACCTGAATGCTAAGCCCCTCACACTCCACTGCAGGTGTAATCAGCAAAGCATGGAAACATATGATGAGAATTAGAAGACTGAGCTGCTGTTTTCGTGAACTGATGCAGGGATTCTGACAAGTTACTTAACCTTTCCGAATAGGTCTTTTCCTTCCTAAAACGGGGGCAACCAATATGCACAAGACAGTGGGCAACAGGTACACAATAAGTGATAGAGAAGTATTTTATAAACTACGACCCGCTTGAAACTGCAATTATCTCTTTTGTCTTTAAAAAAAAGACATAACTATGTACCACATCGTCTTTTATACCAACAGTATAATGAATGGCCTGGTAATGATGTCTTAGACATCATGTTCTAAAACACATTTTCAAAGTATTACCTACAAAATAAGATTCGCATTGATTATACATTAGTTTATCATTTAAAACATGTATTAACCTCGTGTTTCTGATGCGTTTTCATCTGGAACTGTGCTCTCAGGGACGCTCAGGGTTCTATCACTCCTAGAGACAGTAAACGACTCACCTGTGAGCATGACACTGACAAGTAAAACAATCAATCCACAGCCCATATCTCAAACAGCCCCAGCTTTCAAAGGGCTCTGACACTTTGAGCCACTGCCCACCTTCCCTAACTGCCCCAGGGCCAGGTACCCCAGGTATCTAGGGACAATCTAGGCAGCTGCAGATCCCACCAAAAGTATTCAGACTACCCAGTCCTAAGCAGCTTTTCCTGTTGACCTTGTCTCACCCATTCCTTTCCATGGAACAACAATTGAGGATCTATATTTCCTTCTCATTCCCTCTGCCTCCTAACCAACCCTAGTACATCCCCATATGGCCCTGCCTGACATGCTATGCCTCTTGGTTCTAGAAATCGGTGCAGACAAAAACTTCTTCTTTCCCGGCATTCATGTCCATATCTGTGTCTTATCATACCTGATTAAAACAAATTTCAGTTACCCTTTAAATGAAAGAAGAAAAATCCACTACTATTAATTCTAATGAATAATTATCTTCCTTGAATCTTTTCTTGTTAAATCTGTTCTTGTTTTGTGAGATTTTATATCTTAAAATAGGCTACATGAATCACTGCACTTGTAATTACAACTTGTTGTCAAATATATTTAAAAGCATGTACATCAATGCAGCTATGCTAACATGAGGGAAAGATGGGGAATTTAAATAACAGTCATACATTTTAAATGGTTCCATAAGAAGCCACAGACCTCAGGGTTAATTTTAACTCAGTTGTAAAAGGTTGCTACAAAATAGAATAAATCCTAAGCAATTTTAAGGCTTTGAAACCACATTTGTTAATCGTATACCCATGAATATCTTATTTTGCTCCTCTGAGTAGATACTTGTCTGGATACTCAATCAAAGCAAAGAATAAACCCATGTTGAAAAGACGTTTTATCCTCCACTATCTTCACTCCATAAATCAGTTAATGGAGAAGCTGAACTAGTTTTCTAAACCATTGTGTTTAGCACTTATGTACCTTGAAAATGTTTTGACACAATCACGGAAACAGCAATCATGGACGCTGTTAAGATCAAGAAGTCAGAGGAGGAACTGCAGGGCTCTGACATATATTTAGGAACTAGAACAGCAAATGATGAAATGCATTGTGACTCTGGCAGCTGGCCGAAAAAGAATACGACAAGATTATATTGTGTTATCAAGATTAAATTCTAAGAATGTAAATTTAGCATAAGATGGTAGGAAGAGAAAATAAGATATCTACAAAATTGTAATAAAATAAGAACACATCATTGAATAATAAATGGTAAGAAAACTACAGCAACAAGAAATCAGAATATTTGAAACTCTAAATTTAAAAGAAGTTCAAAGAAGTGCTATGATACAAATTCACGCATTTGCCCCGAAACTTTTATAACAAAGTTTGTCTTTTTATACCTTCAAAGAAGCACCGTAAAGGTTTAGCAACCCAAGGAACTTAGTATTTTTGCCACATTTCATGAATATTTGCCCATTAGTCTTTTTAAAATGCTTCACGTATGTATAGAATATTGAAGGAATATTGAGGAAACAATAATCACTTCTCTTTATACTAATAATATGTGAAATAAAGAGACAATTCCAATGTGCTGTGTCTATATCACCACCCTCTCCAAGCTTCCTCTACATTAAGTGCTCTTGATTGCATAGTATTAAACAAGAAAAGCTGTCTATTATTATTTTTAATGGTAATAAGTAATTCCACCCAAAAGATAGTATTTTTTCATCCTTCACTGTTACAATAAAAATTGTATGTAGTGGGTATTTACCTTAATTTAAAAAAAATTAACTGCTAAACAATTACATAAAATATTGATAACGTTAGTTTTCTCTTGTTTAACATGGTATGGGAATGGGTATTCTGATTCATCAAATGTTTGATTAATAATTGCTTGTTATCTATGTAGTGGAGTCTCAACTTCAAAGTAGTAAGACAATGATAAGTAAACAGTTTATTCAAATAAGTATGAAGCATAGAATACACAAAGACTGAGTGCAGGAGTATCAATTTCATGAATCCCCAAAAAGACGGTAGCACATAAAATTTTGATTTTGATGCTTTCTCAGGAGGAAAATTGGTGCCTAGCACATTACTTGACCCAAATTATTTTGTGATGGTCAATATTAGGTGTCAACTTGATTGGATTAAAGGATGCCTCCATAGCTGGTAAAGTATTGTTCTGGGGTGTGTCTGTAAGGGAATTGACAGAGGAGATTAATATTTGAGTCAGTGGACTAGGAGAAGAAGACCCACTCTCGATGTGGGTGGGCACCATCCAATTGGCCGCCAGCACGGCTAAAACAAAGCAGGTGGAAGAAGGTGGGATAAGCTGATTTACTGAGTTTTCTGGTTTTCATCTTTCTCCCATGCTGGATGCTTCCTGCCCTTGGGCATCAGACTTCAGGTTTCCACCCTTTGGAGTCTCAGACTTACACTAGTGGTTTGCTGGGGCCTCTCAGGCCTTTGGCCACAGACTGATGCCTGCACTATTGGCTTCCCTACTTTTGAGGATTTTGGACTCAGCCTGAGCCACTAATGGCCTCCTACCTCCTCAGCTTGCAGATGGCCTATAGTGAGACTTCACCTTGTGATCCTGTGAGTCAATTCTCCTTAATAAACTCCCTTTCGTATATACATCTGTCCTGTTACTTCCTCCCTCTGGAGAATCCTGACTGATACATACCTACTAATATTAATATAAATATATTAGTATAACATGTCATGGACACACAAATAATGGAAAATTGTAGCTTGTGCTATTAGGGAGGCCTTGCTGACAATCAAATTGAGTAGGAATTTAGCAGGGTTGGAGGCACCAAGAGCGAGTAAAGCCATTCCTGACTGAGTGATCAGTATGAGCAAAGACACCAAGATAAAAGTCTACCAAATATTAAGAAAATTTTGATAAGTGTAAATGAGTATGGAGATTGTAAGCAGGCTGAGACCTAAAGAAAATCACATCACAGGATGTGATTTCTACTCTGCATTTAAGCCCTCATCTAATGTCTACAGATTATAGACTATCATACTTGGTGCTTTTGGTAAATATTTTTCCAAATCATGCTCCCTGCTTGAACCTACTTCATTCCAGAAATATGAATATATGAGCCATGTTTTGTAGAGGTTCATACAGTAAACCACCTTTTGTTCTTCTGATTTCAAAATCTCATAAATCTTAGAGCCAACACAGCACCAGTTTGTGTAACTGGATCATCATCACAATTAAGCAACATAAATTCCCTTTAAATAGTCTGCAACATAAATTCCCTTTAAATAATCTGCAACATTTTTTTATTAGTCGTTAGTTGTTGCATTCTACATTAAATGAAAGAAAGCATTTGTTTCCAGACATTTCAAACGCAAACTGGCTATAAAATCAAAATAAATGGATAAATGACTTTTATTTTATTTTATTTTCCCATAAGTTTTGAGGTGCAGGTGGTATTTGGTTACATGAGTAAGTTCTTCAGTGGTGATTTGTAAGATCCTGGTGCACCCATCACCTGAGCAGTACACACTACACCATATTTGTTGTTTTTTATTCCTCACCCCCCTCCCACTTTCCCGCTCAAGTCCCCAGAGTCCATTGTGTCATTCTTATGCCTTTGTGTCCTCATAGCTTAGCTCCCACATATCAGTGAGAATATACGATGTTTGGTTTTCCATTCCTGAGTTACTTCACCTAGAATCACAGTCTCTAATCACATTCAGGTCATTGCAAATGCTATTAATTAGTTCTTTTTTTATGGCTGAGTAAAGAACTAAAAGTAGTACAATCTGATCCAGCAATCCCACTACCGGGTATCTACCCAGAAAAGAGAAGTCATTATACAAAAAAGATACTTGCACATGCATGTTTATAGCAGCACAATTCACAATTGCAAAATTGTGGAACCAAACCAAATCCACATCAATCAACAAGTGGATAAAGAAACTCTGGTATATAGATATATATATTATATACCAGACATATAGCTATATATCTATATAACAGTATATATCTGGTATATAAGATATATATCTATATACCAGATACATAAGATTTATATCTATATACTGGATATATAAGATATATATATATCTATATACCAGATATATATATCATACATATATATATATGTATGATGGGATAAATGATATTTTTCTTTGATGGTAGAGGGTTTCTTAGTATCCTATATTGTTGATCAATAGGATTACAGACTAATATTAATTTTATAAAGTTATTCTTAGAAGTTTAGAAGTTCTAATGAAGCAAAAACCTCAGAATCACAGACGGTCAATTGGAAGCAAGCTAATGTGACCCATTTTTGATTGAAATCTAGTTAAGTTGTACCTTTTTTATTGTCACTGAGAATCCAAGTTTCTTAATTTCAATCAATCCTCCTTCAACAGCTAACATTCACTTCGTGCTTATGTCTCAAGCACTGTATTACCTTGTTAGGGCTGATATAACAAAATGGCACTGAGTGTGTGGCTTAAGCATTTTCTCAAATTTATTTTCTCATAATTCTAGAGGCTGGAAGTCTAAGATCAAGGTATTGGCAGGATTGATTCCTTCTGAGGCCTCTCTCCTTGGCTTGTTTGCAGACGGCCATCCTCTGTCTGTTTTCATATGGCCTTCTCTCCATAACTGTGTCTTATTTTCTCTTATGAGGACATCAGGCATATTGGATTCGAGCCTGTGCTAATGACCTCATTTTAACTTAATCATCTCTTTATAGAAACTTTTTTCCAAACATGGTCACATATTGAGGCACTATGAGTTAGGATAACAACATATGATTTTAGGTAGAAGAGAGTTTATTTCATAAAAGGTACTGTACTGAATAGTTTAGATACATTATTTTATTCTATATTAAAAGCCAACCTCTTAGATATAGTTTCATACATACTTTACAGATGAAGAAAGTAAGCAAGATAATAAATAATGATCCCAAGTTCACACAGGTAGTGAGGTAGAAAGCTCTCACATATAAATCCTGGCGTTCGCACTTTAGTCTCCATACTGGTGACAGCCACACGATATTGCTCTTGAGACGACCTCATCTTCTAGATGAAAGTGATCTTATGCAAATTTCTTTGGGATCTCTACTTTATATTACAAAAAATCTCTGTTTTCAACATTATTTCCCATCATTTATCTTCTTTCTAAGGGGGAATCATCTTATCTAATTGACAAGATTTTACAGCATGCTAGAATTCTCCCCTCTTGTACAGCCTCAGTATTTTTCTTTCCACAAGATTTTCCTGGTTCCCTCTCCTTCATCATGTGTGATCTAAACCACTCTCAAAGATTCTCTTTCCCATTCCATTTGTTATCAAATTACTTTTAAAAAGTAAATGATATAAGCCGCTAGCTAGACCCAACTGATTAAAAAAAGTTTTTAATTTTTCTTCCCCCAGTGAAACTTGGACTAATTAACTAATAACCCTTTCTCAGTTAGTCCTCAATAGGAGCAGTGTACCTAGCTCGTAAAATTTCCTCTGCAGTTACCATTCTGATACACCACTCTTAAGTTTTCCTCTGACATCTCTTATGGTTAGCAGCAGTTTACATGACTTTCTAAAGCCCATTTGGGTTTAATAGACTGAGAATATTTTATTTATTAAGATTCCTTCAGAGGAGTCATGGTATCCCAAGGACATACAATGGTAGGTCATGAAAGTTGGTTGTTAAACTGCTTGCAAAAGAAGATAACCCTACTAACTATGCCGTTGATATTGTTCCTGTGAGTCTGAAAATGAGAGGGAGAACGGGCCGCAGGACAGGGAGTAAGTGGAAATTGGAACAGCCTGAATTGCTTTGCCTACTGCAGATAAGAGACTCCCCCAGGTAGGCTCTCTCTGGGAGGAAGAACCTACAGTTGTAAATTTCAACAACTATGATTGGTGGCTAAAGGGTTGACAAGGGACCTGAAAGAATATACATGCATTATCAGGGCTTTTAATTGTGTTAGTTGTGGAGTATAGAATGTACCCATATTGATCTGTTCCCCTGAAAACATTTAATACCTATATGTTGTTAATTACTACTGTGTATGTGTGTCTGTGTGCGTGAGAGAGAGAATAGTTCTTTAGGAAAATTCAAAGAGGCTCTAATTTTTAAATCTAGGTGGAAAATAAGATTTAAGAGTCATTATGATAAAGGGCTGGTTCATATCTAAATACAGCATCTGCATATAAGACAATTAAAAGGGGAAAAATCAAACATATAAAGACAAGTTTCTAGTATGCCATCCAATGTTTCATTAAATAATTCACTGCATTTATTCATATTCAATAAGATTATCTACATAGAGAAATAAAATTGGAATCCATTAATTATCCACAAACTTCATATGATTTAAAAGCACTTTTAGGTTACATACACACGTGGATTTAAGATTAGTTATCCAGATTACCATTTTGGAATATAGAGTTTACATATTCTGTCTCTCTTTTTTGTTGAAATCAAAAATTACCCACACACCACAAAACTCTAAAGCAAAATTATTTATGGTCTAAAACTGACCAGTATTACTCAATTTTAATGTAAATTCTTCTTTGTTTTGTATTAGTCTTCCTTTTAGAAAACTAGTTTATTTCTGTACAGCCATGAGGTAATAAGTAACAAAATCCTTAAGGATGATAGTGATTATATTATTTACAATTAATCTTCCTCCTAAGAGTCACAACGTTAAAAGGAAAGGGGAAAGGACACTTTCTAATGTGAACACTATGCATATTCCAGAAGGAATACTTATCATGCTAGGTCAACAGGGGCTTCCATTTTTATCCAAAGTTCTATCGCAATTTCTCATTTAATTTCACTACAGCAAAACCTTTCCGTACCACCCACCAAATAGAGGAGGCGTAATTTAGTTCTTATATAATAAACAACATCTGCATATGGAAATGGTCTCCCTAGCTCCTTTTGCAAGCACATCTATAGGCCTTATTACAAAGTCAACACTTTCTTTATTCTGTGGGGATGGGGTCAAAATTGGCAGCTAAAAACGTGAAGCATATAATAATAAAATGCATAAGTGATTGTAGCTATCAAGCATTATATAACTTCTAGAGGTTACTTTCAGCTTGATCTTAGATTCTAGAGTCATTGACTTTAATACATCTCCTGGAAAAAGATAAAAGTTTATTCCAAATCAAATATCTGAGTATATTAAAGAGCTTACCTTTTTAACCAAGACAGTTGGAATCCTTCAACTTGCTAATTCCAGGGAAGGATCCTCAAGTGACTTAACAGTGACCTTGACTGTGCTACACCAGGACGGGTTTACCAGCAATCACAGATTCATCTGTAGGTAGGGGTGTGTGTGTGTTTTTCCTTTCCTTTCCTTTTATAACCAAAGTTTTACTTCACAGGCTACCAAAGGAATAAGATAATGCTGCCTATCTTAGTGGGGCCCTGTGGATGGCTCACAAACACATTTGGTAAGTTGGCAAAATAACGTACTATGAATGTCCACTAATGATGTCCCATTGTTTTTAAATCTCCTTCTCAGTGTGGAACTGCACTAATTAAGAGCTGACATAGGCACAACTCAGTTTCCTGAGGTGCCACACAGTTCATATTAGTCAACTCTGTGCTTTCTCAGTCGTCCTGGGATTGCTGGAGTGCTTATGCCATATTTCAGATCACAAAGGGGAATAAAATTATCTATTTAATTTGAGGATCATCTCCCCCTTTGCCTGGAGTTGATCTGAGTCTTTCTCACCATAATTTCTTTAAGTTATCTTTGCAAAAAAACAGGTAGATGTAAGGGCAAACACCAAGTCAGGAATCCATTTATGTTTAAACATACAGTTGTTGGAGGTTTCTTCGCCAGCACCCTTAAGATGACATGGATAACTCAGGATAAAGAAAGAAAACTATTATTCTGCAACATATACCATCCATCAGCATAATCTGCCATTAAAAATAATTGGCACCTTTAATTATGTACTTATTTCAGACATAAAACATTTGACCTCAAAAGCAGGTGAGGGAACAAAGGTTTTCTTGTAAAACTGCAGTAACTAGAAAAACAGAAATTAAAACCAGGAATATATATGTCTAAAGCTTGTGTATTTAACTATGAAGGACGGTTGATTCTTAATTGCTTTCTTGTTTTCCTGGGAGAGGTGAGGGGATCCTTATCCTATCTCCTGCCCTCCCATTAATTCACCCTGTATTTTGGAGCAATAACCGTATTAACATAATTGACATCTACAAAAATTAAGCCCATCTTTTAGACCATCAACCAAGAAATAAGTGACTGATTTTACTGTGTTTGCATTTACAGTAGATCCTCACAAAGGAAGTATTTAAAGCCTCTTACACATATTTTTCCATTCTATCCTTTCTCTCTTCTAAATAGATGACACTTTTGTTTGTTTTACGTTTTATAACAGATAAGCATTAAATTTTTCCAAGTAGTTTTAAGCATTTTAGCTTCTCCATAATATAACATTTATGGTAATAAAATAAGTATTTACATTCAAAACATTAACAAGCTGTTATTTTACAGAACTGCTAAATGTATAATCTGAAAAATCATAACTGAAATGCTTTTTATATTATTGTCAAAATTGGTTGGCAATAAACCATACTAGCACAATTAATGCAAAAATATAAAATGTAGATATTTTTCTAAATTGCTTTTCCAAAAGTATGTCTGAAAGGACAATTAAATGTGGTATTTGAACACCATGAATCATTAAATAAATTCAAAGTATTGCAAGAAATATAGATAGACAATTATGTCGGTAAAGCTTAAATGATTTAAGAAGTAGAACAGTATCAATATCAACTTCTCTTTTAATAACTCAATTTAATCACAAAACTTTTTCAGAACTGTTCCAACTCCCATATAAACTTAAGGTGGCAAAATTTAAACTATTTTAATATTCCCGTCTGTTTAGTCCTCCATATTGACAATAAAGCATAATTATTTAAGGCATAATTATTTATTGATTTGTAATTACAATAGTAAGAAAATGATAACTGGAGTATAGTACTGATTTAGAGGGAAAAAAAACCTAGATTTCACCCTATAAATATTCATATATTCTAGACAAGAAACATGAGCCTAAAGTTTATATACCATGCTAACAATCCAAACTTGCAATTCAAATAAACCATCTGCCGTCAGTCTAATGATCCATCTGTGCAGGCATTTAAACACTGACAACACAGGTGAGCAGTTACAATAAATTTCATGAATTAAAATACATAAGCACTTATGCACGTGCACGCGCGCTCACACACACACACACCTCAGCAACTGACATTAGTTTTGTAAAATTAACAACTTTAAAACTCAACAAAAATTCAGTCTTATTGTGCACATTGCCTTTTCTTAGTCTGGCCCATGTGGAGATAAATATGGAGGAAAATTTAAGCACCTATGCCACCCATTTAGTGAGCAAAGACAATTTGGAGAAATCAAGTCACATGCCCTCTTTACAATATAGGAAATTCAGGGAACTAAGTGTAAACAAGCTGAATTATCTATTCAGTTTACTTGGATCTCCATTTAATAAAATTGTACCTATTGTATACATACGTACATAACCCAGATAATCTTATTCATCCTTAGCAAAAATTATAGTACATAAATTTCCAGTGTACTTAAGGAAAGGGAAGATGCTCATTGATACAAATACTCCTGAGAATACAAAACACTACTTAGCCATTAGTTTTAGTGTACAAACATAAGGAAGAGGTTAGAAGCATTTACATTTCAGCTATGAATGTATGTTACCTGTATATTTACACTTTACCTTTATCACAATGTTGAATTTCTCACTAAACCTGCTTAGTAATAGGAATAAATATTCAAAAGTTACTTTCCAAGAACCAAGGACCTAAAACCTTGAGACTCAGTATGATTTTCATAGGAAACTGCGTTTGCTACAATGTTTGTACCATGAGCATTTAAATTTTCTCACTAATTTGCTGATCACCACTTCACTAATCTGCTTAATTAACTCAAATATCATAAAAGACTGCGTGGATTTTCTTAGAGTTAAAAAAGTATGCACAATCAGCACATTCTTTAAGAATAAATTTTTCTAAATAAAGTCATGATTATTAATATGTTAGTGAATGCCCCCAAATTTTACCATTCTATGCTATAGAATTCCTACTTTATAGACCGTATCAAATGTTATCATTGATGATATTCTTATTAATATATTTTACCTTTATTACTGAACATGAAAACTATGTTTACAAATAACCATATTTTACCTTTATTACTGAACATGAAAACTATATTTACAAATAACCATATTGCTTAAGACTGCTCATAAGTTCATGTTTTGAACAGTTTTAAATATTAAATCACTAATGGAATACTGTTTTATATGAAATAACTTTTCATATACTGTGCCCTATAGAAAAGTAAAATGAATCAGATTTATTTCCTTTTTACATTATTTTAAAATATGAAGTAAATTTTTGTTCTTTTATTTTGTAAAGTTAATTGTAGAATGGGGGAAGAATAAAATACTTAAGTTTACTTCAGAATCTATACATAAAGATACAGTATTGCATAATTTAATGCAATAAAATTGAAAATATTTTAGAAAAAGAGTGAAGATTTCCCCTCAGTTTGCTCTCCCCCGCCCGACACCCATCAAGTTTATTCAGCCATATCTTGGGCAAATATTTTTATTCTTTTTCCGTCTTGCAAAAAGAAAACCAGAAACTAAAGAATAAAAGTCCTTTAGAAGGAAAGAAGATAATTCAAAATTATCATGCTCATGTACTAAAAAAGTGAAAACTATGAAGATAGAAAATAATGACACAGTGAAATTCAATGATAGATTAAATCCCGTGGAGAATTCCCCATGTATTTTATTCTGGGGATCCGAAAGGACAGGTTTTCTTTGCCTGTTGTTTCATAATCTTTTCCTCTAGCAAATATTGCCTCTTGAATTCTCTCCTACAGGTTTTGCATGCCTGAAGAAGAGGCTGAGCCCACAGTTACAGGCTGTTGAATAGCCACAGGGTTAGATGTTGGCAAGGGTTTCGTCTCTTTTAGGCTTCTCAAAAAATTTAAAAAACAAACAAACAAACAAAAACACAATTCTTAAAAACCACCATAGGGAGCATAAAGAAAATGGAAAAGAGCAGAGATAAAGAAACAGAGGCATTGTTTTCTGCAGACTAAGCCTGCTGAGCTACGTGCACTGCACAATATTTACTTCCCTGCTTTCATTGAAAACGCCAAATGTGCCTATATTATTCTAAAAAGTACAGCTGATCCTTCTGTTTGGGCCAACAGGTCTATAGGCCAGAACACATTCCAAAGCTTTTCCCTTGAGGCTGTCTGCCCAAAGCCAGATAACATCTTCTATCCATAGGGCTTGGTCTGCCTTGGTGGATGTCATTTGGAGAAATGCATCCATATCAAAATTTACCCTGGACCCCATTCCAACTTCCTTTTTTTCTGGAGAAGTAACTGAATTTATTTAGAAATAAAATCAGTATCTCTGTGGAAGGCTTGTTGGATGGAGAAATGAGAATACTGGATCCACGTAGAGGTGTAGTTCATTTGTATACAATGGACAAGAAAAATACTTTAACTTGGAACTACTGGCTCAGAGAAAGCTTAATAGTAACACTTGCAGAATGACTGAAAAAAGGGAATCTGATTTCCCTGGTTTAAAAATGTTCAATGAGAGATTATTGCTGAAGAAATACCTTTCAGTCATTCATTTATTCATTCCACATGGCAATTATGTACCAGCAGGGTAAAGTGAAAAGAGGCAATACAAAGGTTTTCCTCAGGGACTATCGTCTTCTCTTCTCCATCCAGCTTTTCATTTTATAACAGCTTTTTATCATACTGAATTAAAACATTGTGTTCAGATCCATCATTCTGACTAGACTGATATCTCCTTGAAGGAATGTTTTACTTGTCATCATTATGACCCTAACACTTAGCTCTCCAATAACAATTTCAAAGACTGGATATTTACTCTGTATAACGTAAATGTATTATTTCATCAACAATTTTTCATCCTCTCCTTCCATTTATTTTCCCTGACTGTAAGTTTCAGTTTCACTGTGTCTCTACCTGCACTTTTAGCATTTCTCTTTCGCTGTGCAACATCACTTCATTTTCTGTTGATGATTTTAACACTACTGTGTGTGTGTGTGTTGAATCAGAAAACACATGTGTTAGTTGCCACCCCCATCTTAACCCACACTCTGAGATATGTCCAAGGTGCCAAATGCATGGCAGTCACTACTAAGATTTCAGTGGGTCAACCTAAGTCTTTTGGAAGCTAGATCTGTATAATACATATTGATCTGTTGCCAGGAGCCTTGTGGAAATTCCAAAGAGATGATATAGGATCAAAATATTTTTCCTTAGCCAGGAATGGTGGTGCATGCCTTAGTCCCATCTACTCTGGAGGTTGAGGTGGGAGGATGCTTGAGCCCAGGAGTTTGAGGCTGCAGTGATCTATGATCGTGCTACTGTACCAGGTGACAGAGTGAGACCCTGACTCTAAATACACACATACATAATATATGTAGACATATGTGTGCCTGTGTATGTATGTACATATATACACACACACATATATATATACACACATACATATACGTATCTATATACATACATGCCATATATATATATGGTATGAAATTTAACCGAGCTACAAGAAGAAATGACCCAGGGGAGGGGCATGGGGAAAGAGGAAAAATCTGTTCCCATCAACAGTTTTCTGGACATTGATACAACCAAGTAGGGAATTTAGTATATTATTTTTATATAACAAATTTAGTCTTTCACACTCTTGGAAGTTCTGAAAACTCCTTCAGGAAATAACCCAAACAGATTTTTTTTTAAAAGACTTATGCTTACATTTTAAATTTTATCAGTTTCAATTATTTCTTAGAGTTGTAAGTTACAGATAAGTGCAATAACAATTATTATTCTCTTGTTTTCTTACAAACAATAAATTATACAGTAAAAGATTATATATTTAGAAATTATTTTTGTTTTAATATGTTTGTTACCATTTTCCATAAATATCGATCTATAAATATATTTGTACAGCATCCAACCCACAAGGTCATTAGCATAATAGATATTAAATATAACAAGGCATTCAAACGTAGAGATTTAAAAAAATGGGAACTGAATGTCAGTGGAATTTTTAAAAAACCTGCTTTTTATTCCATTTGTTCTTTAAAAATTTTATACACAAGATTTTTCACGTTCCACATTGCGTAAGTTTCACACATTTTCTTAAGTCTTTACTTTTTCATAATATGAATAAAATCAGAAATACCTGAATATGCTCAACTAATAATAATAGACAAGTCCACTATTGCATTTAGTAGTAAAAAACAATATAGCATTTCAGTATAAGTTGGAGGTGCTTAGTATCCACATTATAAATTGAGATAAAATCAGTATTTATATTCATATTTCCTCATTCACTCTCTCCCCTCCCACTCTCTATCTCAGGATGTGTAAATAAAATAAATAAACCTGGCATAAGAATGGGAAATATTAAAACATTTCTAGCACAAAGGACAGATATTCAATTTATTACACACTAAAGAGAAAAGATACTACACTTGCCAAAGAAATCTAACCTCAATTATCACAAAAGTCATCATGATTATATGGTGACTCCTAAGTCTCTAAACACAACCCCTTAAATGTAAAATAGAACATTGGGGTTTTTTGTGTGTTTGTGTGTATACCAAACAGTATTTTTGTAAAAGATAAGTAGTCTCTTTTGAAATGAATTCAATGTATACAGACGTAATGTTTTTTAACATAAGCATCTTTCAACTGTATGTCCTACTTTATTGATTCCAATGCTCCACTGTGATTTATTTATGGAAATTTACATGGAATGGGTTCAAAGATATTTGAAGCATTCATACCTGATACAGTTTATTCTCTACAGGGAGTAGCAGTTTTCCTGGGAACAAATTATGCACTGAATTTAATGCTCATTTTCACTTTTGATGTGTTTCTTTTAAGAGTGCTATTTCAATTGGGGTAAGATTGTATATTATGTTTCACTCTTACGGTTAGGATTATTTTCTGTTCAGCTGAAGATACTCCACTTGGGAGCCACTCATTCCACCCACATTGTCAATGAAGCACCGTGTTAGGACCACAGACACCTGACCACAGTCAGAGGTGCTGAGTCGTGTGTGAATACCCATCTCGTCTCCTGTCCCCAGGATGTCTAAACTTGTAGCCTGAGAGTACATCTAGCCGCCCTCAACACAACACAGTGGCTGAAGCTTTAAGATTTAAAAATCTGGAGTTACTGGTGGCCTGGCCATATTTCAGCCATAGCAACCTGCAACAATACGGTGACAAAACCAACGTCCAGAGAGAAGCAAATTAAACCATACACAGAATTCTAACACATATACTTATATCCGTGCACATGCCATTACTATTTTTTGAATGCACGTAAAAAGTTTTGTGATTATCAACAAGAAAAATCCAATTTTAAAGTATTTTTGTATTAATAATTTGTTATAATTTTTTTCAGATGAAAACCATTAAAATGACATATTCTGCAATGTTGTACCTGGTACAGGGAAAGGGTACAAGGCATTATTATTATTATTATTATTATTATTATTATGTGTGTGTGTATTTGTGTGTGTGTGTGTGTGTGTGTGTGTGAGACTGAGTCTCATTCTGTCCCAGGCTGGAGTGCAGTGGTGCCATCTCTGCTCGCTGCAACCTCCACCTCCCACGTTCAATCGATTCTCCTGCCTCAGTCTCCTTAGTAGCTGAGATTACAGGCACCCACCACCACAACTGACTAATTTTTTTTTTTTTTTTTTGTATTTTTAGTAGGAACAGAGTTTCGCCATGTTGGCCAGGCTAGTCTTGAACTCCTGAACTCAGGTGATTCACCCACCTCGGCCACAAGGCACTTTTTGATGCTCAAATATTATAATCATGTTTTTAAAATGAAAACTAATGACAAAGACTTCCCATGACTCTTATCTCCAAAAGGTACGTGGCATGTAAGAATCACATACGCTTCTCAAAGGCTTCCCGTGTGTCCAAGCTTCATGAATATTAAGTTAATTGTATTAAGCTCTTCTAATATATCACTGTGCTGAGGTTTTTACATATATTTAGTGCCCACAACAACGTTTTGAGATAGTACTAATTATCTTCATGTTACAGTTGAAGAATTTGAATTTACAGTGAAAGAATTCAGACCCAAGTTGGCAGAATTCAATGCCCATGCTTTTAACTATTATACTATCTCAAAATTATTTACCTAGTGAGGCAATATGGTGGCATGAATGGGCAAGCAAACAAATAGTTTCATCCTGACTTCTATCCTTTAGGTTGTAATAAATTGGACCAAAATCTTCGAATGTCAGAGCAAGAATTTTGCCCCAGGTATTCCCCATGCTTATTTACTGTGACACCATAAGGACTCCCTTACAAAATATGACTCTGCTTTTTAAATACAGCCCCAGAAATGCATTGGAATATTTCGGCATGTTTCTCTGCCAGAAAAATATATAACGGAGCTTTACAAAACAGATTTTTGGAAAAAGCTAAAAGGGAGCAAGAGAGATCTGATTTCTTCATAGATGAATCATGAAGGAATCATCTATGAATAAGAAATGTGAACAAATTAAATGGCTATACATCAAAATAGTGCATGTTGAACACTAGAAATAAAATAAATTATAGTATCCATTTTACTGAGCAATTATCATGTGCCTGGTATTATATGGTGTTACAATCCTGACATGTTTTATTAATACATTCCTTGTAACAGCTTATGTGGTAGGTAGTGTTCTTTTCCCTATTTTACAAATGGTTTAATGGAGACTAAGGTAGATTAAATGATTTTCTGAGTTTTAGGAAATATACATATTTATAATCATATGTACATTTATATTCTCATATATATAAATTTTGGTTAGCTTTTATATACAAAAATAAGGTTGACTAATTTTCATCCAATTTCTATCTAATGAATTCTAATAGGTTAGCTCATTAAGTGAATTAATCTTCTATTCATATTAAGTAATATTCAATTTTCAAAAAAATGCTCATCCCATAAAACTGAGATTATATTTATAATTACCAAATAAGCAAGATAAACCTAACCTGATTTATTATTTTTATTTGATTTACTTTATCACTGGACTGGTGATGTTTGGACCAAAATGATCCACACTATATCAAGTTAGAATGGCCGCCAGAGTTCCCTGCTCTGTTTCCCAGAAACCGAATGCTCAACATGATGAAGTCATTTTTTGAATACCAAACAGAAATAGTCCCAAACTCATCACCCCAGGTTCTAGAACGAACATTCCACTGATGTGTGTGGGGATGCGTGTACATGCTTGGGTCTAGCTTTTGGTCAAACTACATCATGTAATATAATAAATCTAGGATTCCTGTTAGCAGAGAACTATCAGGATACAAGTATTTCATTTGGAATTCTGTCTTATGTTACTGCAGTACCAAATATTTGTTGATTTTGTTGATGATAGTGGTCTATTCTGGGACATTTTTCAAAAGCAAGGCCCAAATTCAAGTAATTTACTAGATTAATTAATTACCTATGGTTAGGAGAATTGTTACCATAGCAAAGAAATATACACATACAAAATAACTCAAATGCAGTAAGTTTTTTTTTAAATCAGTCAGGATTCAGAATGAGTAAAACTAAGATTTTTACTTTGTTTGCCTAAAGTCTGTGATCCTGCCTCCACTGGAAGACGGAATTTTTAAAAATTAACTAAACACATTTTATCCTTGAAATCTCAACATAAGTAACACTATTTAAACCCAGAATGTCAAACTGAAAGAATATTATGTACAAAAAATAAAAGATATACACTGCATTGTTGAACCAAATTGTAAAATTTAAACATAATAAATTACACTATAAAAGTTGATCATTCAAACTCTCCGTTAGAAGATCAAAATGACAAATAGGTAGAAATACCATACAAAGCTGGGGCACCTTAAGATTATTTCTTGGTCTTAATAGTCCAAATTAATAATCCAAGTGTCTATTTTAGTAAGTGGTTATATATGAAGCCTTTTGAATTAAGGTTAAAGGAGAACATATCCCATCTGTGGGGAAGAAACATAAGCAGATGGAAACAAGATAAGCTAAAGAGATTACTTTCCTGTTACCTGTCCTGAGACTTAGGACCCAAGCAGGATTTAACAAGTAGTTTTTAATGTTGGGATGGCATCTAAAGGTTTTATGACATTAAAGATTCACAGAAACATTTTTAATGGAGGTAATATACAAAATAAATCATTTAAAATATAGTAAAGTAGGAGAACTGAATAATTTTCACTTTGCAAGCATAGGAAGGGACAATTTTTCCTCCCATTTCTGCCTTAATAGGTAGAAAAATCTAAGAGTTTTCTAAGGAAGGAAGGAGAGAGCTGTCTTTATGTGTCACTTTTATTATCATGGAAGATATCAGGCATTAATTTTCTTACCATTGTAGAATAATTTTAAACATGTAGGTTCCAAGAATGATATGGTGTTTTTTTAAAGCCTTTAAAACACATTAAACATGAAAGAAGACAGGCAATTCAGAGACATTATGATACAAAATGAATAAAAGCTGATCAGATATGAACTAGAATATTTGAAGCACTGTGAACGATGACATGTCTGGGTATGCATGACTAATCAAGTTGGCTTCGTTTATTTAAATCCAGAAAAATTACTTCCGTACAAAGCAAAATAGTTTTGCGAAATGCATATTACTGTGCCTATTCAGGTTTGTGATTTGGTAACTGAATTCTCCTTTTATCTTTCAGTCTCTTTTGTATGAATAAAACAGATTGTGACTAATTGAAAACGGTAGTCAGAAAGCAATCAGGCTGACATGGTTAATAACAGGCTGTTCAATTGAAGCATTGTTATGAACCAAATGAAAACTACATTTCTTTGCTAAATATGAAATCTGCTATTGCTATCATATGTACAACTCTTTTTAAATTGGATGTAAAAGTAAGAAAAATCACAGATTCCAAGATATCTTTCTTAGATGTTAGCCTATTTTTAAGTATATGCATTTTCAATTTATTATTAATATATTTTTATATCTTGTTTAAATCAGGAATATAGTTCGTAAGCACATCAGTGATAAAGATAGACACAGTCTCTCTGACCAGTTTAATGAATCAGCAAATGATACATGTTCTCTACAAGAAAAGTTGGAATCAGTTACTTCCTAATGCAGCCACTACACACTTAGAATGGAATCAGTGGTAGGATCCATTAGGGGAAAACATTATCTAGTCCATTCATTAGTAGGATCTAGAGTATTTATACCATATGACATCTTATCTACCTTCTGATCAAAAACACATAGACAGTTACTTAATAGATACTGAACACAATGTTAAAATACCATAATAAAGGCCATGAAAAGGATTATAATTTAATGGATATAATATATACAACATTTACACATCATATGTATTAGGAACCAGAATACTGTATTTTTATTTCCACAGATTGAAGTCATTTAATGCATGAGATTGCCTGAAAAGAGAGGCTGGTTTTAATACGGGCCTAGCATTTAAAACCTGAGAGGATTTGCCTCCCGAGTAGCTGTGACTACAGGTACCTGCCACCATGCCCGGCTAATTTTTTGTATTTTTAGTAGAAATGAGGTTTCACCATGTTAGCCAGGATGGTCTTGATTTCCTGACCTCGTGATCTGCCCACCTCGGCCTCCCAAAGTGCTAGGATTACAGGTTGTGAGCCACTGCACCCGGCCATGAACCCGGGAGGCAGAGCTTGCACTGAGCCAAAATCGCGCCACTGCACTCCAGCTTGGGCTACAGAGTGAGACTCCGACTCAAGAAAAACAAAAACAAACAAAAAAAAAAAACACCTTAGAGGATTTGAGGACAGACACAATGGAACTATTGTCAACATTGTTGCTACAAAGAAAAGGGAAAGTGAAGAGAGAATTCAACCACAAAGAAGGGTAAAGATGAGAAAACTATTTAGCAACAGAGCCAAAATACCGAAAACAAAAGAAAACAAAACAAAAAAGCCAAAAAAAAAAAAAAAAAAAATCATACCCTTCCTCTGGACTTTACATTTCCTTGCATCATTAAATCTCCTTTACTATTTAAACTGGTTTTCGCAGGGTTTTCTCTTATTTGCAGCTGAACGTTTCCTGTGTTAATCATTAGAACGCATTTATCAAGTGTTATTTCCACTAGCTATTTATTATGTTTATAAATGCAATTAGAAATATCTCTTAAGCTGCTTGATCACATCTCTGCAAAGCCAGCCCTAGGTCTAACAAAAATGTTTCCAGTTCAAAAATATCCTTTTATTTTGCTTGGGCCAATTTGAGTTAAATTTACTGCATTTCATTATTCTCTTTTTATTTAAATCAAAATTACCATCTCAATCTATTGTAATAATTGGTTTATTCATTATCTAGCCCAATTGGTCTATAAGCTCTGTGACAGTACGCACTCTCCTGTACATCACCATATTGCTGGCAACTAAAATACTCCCTTGGTCTATAGGAGATACTTGAAAAATATTTGCAAAATAAATGAACTAGTAAAATGTATCATATCTCTAGAAAATGTGCAAGAAGGCAGAATGAATTCTAGAAATTGTATGGCAGTTTGGAAAGAAAGCAAAAGAAAAAAGAAACTATTATCACAAACATGATAGATTAGCTGAACCTCAAAATGATTTAAATTATACTGGGGAGATGATGCTTTAGATCTATTGGAAAAACAGCTTATGCCAAAGAATTAAAAACACACAGAATCATCAAAGCACTATCTGTGTTTGAGATAAATGATAGTCTGAGTCACCTATGTAAGAAGTAACTCTGAAATAGTAGGATAGTATTATCATTTCCTGTAATAGATTCACCTCTCAGCAATTGGTCTGTTTTCATTCTATGGAAACTCTCCGTACTGTAATTTTCATTCTATGGAAACTCCCCATACTGTAATTGGACAGTTTTGGTTTCCACACCAGCTATCATCAGTCTTGGAGGCAAATATGTGGGCTAATCTCACGTGCATTTCTATAATAATGGGCTCTATCCTTAGCCTGATACTTGGCCTGTTTCTTCCCCACCATTATCTCTCTGTCTTACGGAGCTAAATTAACACACTTTTCTCTAAAATTTTAGATTCATAAATTTCTCTATTATCAAATAATGTACTTCAAGGGATCCAATTCCATTCTCCCTGCCCCACAGGTTCAAACTTATATGTTAAATAACATATTTATCTAAGGATGCACACTTTTAAACAAATATCTCATCTTCGGCCAGGTTTTATTAACAACAACATAAAAACAATGGGACTTACTGTGTATTATGTGTAAGAGATGTGTTGCTATAGCATTGAAGAAGAAAATTTTTCAAATATGCATAAGCAACATACATTGCTGGCATTTTCTCACTTCTGAAGTGTCTCAAGGCCTTCCTTTGTGCAATTCCCCTTTAAGATAAGTCTGATTCCTGGATATCATGCTCCACTTCCTCAGAGGAGGCATGGTCTGGACCACAAAAATTACAGAATATCATATTGAGTTGCAGTCTTAGTTAGTGTAACATCAGAATGGTTGTACAATTTTAGTGACTTTCTTCTCATGATACAAAGTGGCAAAGTATAAAGGACTCATTCTGTGAGCTCTTTCCCTTGATCTCAGTTGCCCATACATGACAGCCAAATCTGGAATTATTATTCTGGATGGAGAAGCCCAGGGTGGACAACTTTCACTAGCTGCAATCATGCAATCACCTGCCCCAGTACTTGAGTTGCTGTGGTAGCAGAAGACCATAGGCAAAACTGTACTGCCTTTGCCTACAAACGTATAGCTCTAACATTCTGCTTTAGTCTTTAAATATGAAATAAATAAAGTGGACTTTACCTACTGTTTCAATTCAGGGCTATCTCATATAGGAAAAAAAAAGTTTGTTGCTTTGTTTGTTTTTAATAAGCCCATGTCAACAGAGTTCTGCATTGAGTTTTGGAGCTAAAGTCCAGACAAATTTGACTTTCAGCTTGTCCTTGATGTTGACATATATTTAGGGGACCTCAAAAAAGAAGAGTAATGGAGGCCAATGGTTTAAATCTGATTACTCTTATAACACTTGGAAATATATATTACCTTTAGATAACCCTCATGTTCTACTATTTGAAACCGTAGGCCTCAAAGAAGACTACAAAGATTAACCTACTTAGAATTGCAGTCTTCCCTTTCTCAGCATCATCATGCCTGATCCCTTCAACCTCTCTCTGTTTTTCTTCTTTTCCATAGTAGATACTACACTCTAACATGCCATATAATAAGCATTTTTGTATGTGGACATATGTATATGTGTTATATAATATTTATTGCTTATTATTGCTTCTTGTCTATTCATCTCTCTGCCCATTACATTTAAGCTTCATGAAAGCAACTTTCATTTACACATATATTATAGGAATCCAGAATAGTGGCTGGTACATTATAGGTACCCAATAAATAGCTGTAGAAGAATTGTAGAATAGCATTTGAACTACATTTCTATAATTGCAGAATAAATAATGGTTACATTTAAGAAATTTGCACTTATAAACCTCAGTAATATGGTGCATCTCTCAATATAGTTTGTTTTTGTTTTGACACATAGTCTTAATTTGTCACCTAGGCTGGAGTGCAGTGGTATAACCTCGGTTCACTGCAACCTTCCTGGGCTCAAGCAATCCTCATGCCTTGAGTAGGTGGGACTGAAGGCAAGTCCCAAGTAGCTGGGACTATAGGTGTGCACCACCACACCCAGCTTATTATTTTTTCTTTCTATTTATTTGTAGAGACGGCGTTTCACCATTTTGCCCAGAATGGTCTCAATTCCTGAGCTCAAGCGATCCTCCCACCTTGGCCTCCCAAAGTTCTAGGATTACAGGCATCAGACACTGCACCTGGCCTGGATTTCTCAACATAGTTTTAATGGTAGTTTTTAGGTTTCAATGTCTTATTCATGTTGTTTATTCACAATACATTTATGAATATATATTTTTTCTGTAATTTTTTTACCTTGTCTCACTTGTTTTAAGTCTTGACCACTTTAAAAAAATCTTTCTTTGGATGGATTCAGTATAATAGAATTCAAATTCTTGTTTGATTTTTTTAAAAAAAAACAGCATTTGTTTGCTGTTTGTTTGCGGCTGTAGTTTTGTTGATCTCTACTGAGTATTGATTTTCACATTAAAATGCACTTTCTATTTGTTGTTATTGAACACATTAGCAAACAAACTGACTTAGAGGAACATAAATCCAAATGAACAATTAAGGAGCTCTACTAATGGGCTTTTTTAAGTGTCAGCTGGTTTTTCATAAAACGCGGGAAAACTCCCTTGTCTACTCACGATAAGGAAATACAAAGGAGCAGTATTTTATAATTGTCTATGATAGTCTTCTTTTAATAAGCTCTTAACAACAACTTTTAAACCCTCAATTTCTGTGAGTAATGACCTTTGATAAGCTTTTATTCATGAGTAAGTGACATGACCATGCTGGAAAATATATACAAAGAGGTAATCTGGTGTAGAATTAGATATACATATACACTTCTATGGCTGGCCCATGATCTTTATTGGTAAATATCACCTCCACTAAAGGCTGTGCTAAGTGCCCTGATTGCTCATAACTGTGATGAATGCTTTATAAATAAAACTGTAGATGCAGCCCATGTCCTCTACAGACTTTCATGTAAAACAGGCACTATGCCATATACAGGACATAGATAACAAACAAGAAACTAAAAAAAAAGTAAAAATAAAAAATAAAAAACTATACATTGAATGAAATCAGAATAAGTTCACTTCAGTGCATTAAGACTAGACTCAAGATAAATACATAAATATGTAGTTCATAGGAAATTACCACATAAATTATAAGATATTTTACTAAGAAGAGTGAAAAAACAAACTGTGCCTCGCCACTCATAAGGGATCTTCTCATGGTCAGATTTCAGCAGCTATTTAAATGGTGGAAGCCAACAATATTGTAGAGAAATAAAGGATAGGCTGGGTTATGACAGGCATATAGGACTCAATTAGGAATATTTTCAGTAGAAGTAAATTTTTTTTTTTTTTTTTTTGAGACAGAGTCTTGCTCTGTTTCCAGCTGGGAGTGCAATGGAACTATATTGGCTCACCACAATCTCCGCCTCCCACGTTCAAGCGATCCTCCTGCCTCAGCCTCCTGAGTAGCTGGGATTATAGGCATGCACCACCATGCACGGCTAATTTTGTATTTTTAGTAGAGATGGGGTTTCTCCATGTTGGTCAGGCTGGTCTCAAACTCCCGACCTCAGGTGATCCGCCCATCTGGGCCTCCCAAAGTGGTGGGATTACAGGCTTGAGCCACCACGCCCAGCGGGAAGTAACAATTTTTGTTTCTTGTTCCCTTTTCCCACAGTACTCTGCAGATGACTCTAATATGTTTCAAACTCTAACATCATTATGAGTTTGCATTTCTATCTCCTGCAAAAGAATACAAGCTCCTCAAACATAACAGGCGTGCTTCTAATTCATTTGTTTTTTTGTTGGAGGCTACATAACTTTTGGTCTGCATATACTAGTTGATCAGTAAATGGTGATAAAATACATATTTTGCATTAAAAAATATTAAACCTATTGAAACAAATGGGAGAAGACATTATTAATACAATTGTACAAACATTGAGGAGATATATCTAGGATTGTTCTGATGTCAGTGTTATTTAATGAAATCTCACAAGTTATGAAAAGCCAACAGTAAAGAGTATCACAGTGGTAAGTATCACACTCTAACGAAATGAAAGAACAAATGGTGCTATTATAATCTTGTAAAAACGGCAGAATACTTGCTTTGTTTGTTTGAGATCTGGAATAACCACAAGTCCCAATCACGTCTGAATTTTTCCTCTCCTGAACTTACTTCACCTTCCCCACCAATATGTCAACTTTTTCTTTTTTTTTGAGACAAACTCTTGGTCTGTCACCTAGGCTGGAGTGCAATGGCACGATCTCAGCCCACTGCAACCTCAGCCTACCAGGTTCAAGCATTTCTCCTGCCTCAGCCTCCCTAGTAGCTGGGATTACAGGTGCCTGCCACCACACCCAGCTAATGTTTGTATTCTTAGTAGAGATGGGGTTTCACTATGTTGGCCAGGCTGGACTCGAACCCCTGACTTCAGGTGATCCATCCGCCTCAGCCTCCCAAAGCACTGGGACTGCAGGCGTGAGCCACCGTGCCCAGCTTTCAACTGTCTTTTTAACTTTAGCTTTTCTCTAGCCAGACGCTGCCACCTTTCTCAGGTACTGTGTGGGCTGCCCAGCTGTCTGAAGCAGGAGTACTGATAGAACCACTACCGATGCCTCTTTGTCCTCTCTAACTATACCTAAGAGTTCAGAGAATAGAAACCTCAGAGCAGTCTAGACTCCTGCAACAGAAATCTTTCCTTAAAACCAAACTATGGTTGCCTGGTACATAAAAAGGAGGCAGAAATAACTTGCCAGATCAAGTTGTTCTGAGTACCGGGTAGCATGATAGAGAAAAGAAACAACTCTTTCGGTTTCACAGCAACTCTAGCCATCCTTATCACAAAGAATTGACCTTCCAAATCGAATCAGAACCTAAAAATAAATATTACTTTGTTAATAAACCTTAAGCTTCCCAACAAGGGATGACAGATTTGATTTTACTATCATTTTACGTAAATATTTGCCCATACTTTCATGACCTATCAAGTGAATGGTAACTATAAAATGGAAACTACAATTGCATAAGCAAAGACAATATACTGTCTTATACTAACGCCTTTAAATGTGTTAAATAGTTTCATCTTAATTCTCCCAATAACTCTATGAGATATGTATAAGCATGTTATGCATATATGTATATACCCATGTATATACACATACATCCATGTATATACATAAATATATAAAATATTATACCCATTTCCAGTAACTTTTTAAAATTTTTCCTACATGATTATTTATTGTAGCTATATTTTTACTTACACAGCTGATAAAGTACAATGATATTTCTCTCCTTATGCACATATTCAAAGATACAAGCTGTCCAGAAACATATGCAATCTCATCTGCCTGGTTTACAAATCCAGTGTTGTCGAATTCACATCAAGATCTTCTATTAAGTTCTTCCTGGATGGTGCATATAAGAGTGAGGGTGACAGGCATGGTGCTTTATCTCTCACATTCTTTTCCCTGAACTTTACAATTGCAGATATTCCTCAATTCAGTCATTAATACTGATTTTTTTTTAACCAAGTCAGCTTCTTTTTTCATCAATTTATAATTTCATCGTTCTTCCCTCTCCTCCAATAATTTCCTGGCATAAGACAATTACTGTTAGAAGCTACAGACTAACATTCGAATTGGTTTCTAATTAGAAGTTGAATCATTCCTGAGAAATCTGGGACACCGATCAAAGTGTGAAATTCTATATTAAAAATTCAGTGCCTTGGATATTACACAATGCTGTCGGTGTTAAGTTTTGCCTCACACAGTAAAACTTGTGATTGGTGCACAGTCAAATAATATTTCAAATAACTACATTAAAGCGAAATTATTTACCATTTATTTCTTTATTTTCTTAAAATTCTTTACAGTAGGCCGAGTGCGGTGGCTCACGCCTATAATTCCAGCACTTTGGGAGGCCGAGGCGGGTGGATCACCTGAGGTCAGGAGTTCAAGACCAGCCTGATCAACATGAAGAAACCCTGTCTCTACTAAAAATACAAAATTAACTGGGTGTAGCATTATGTGCCTGTCATCTCAGCTACTTGGGAGGCTGAGGCAGGAGAATCAGTTGAACCCAGGAGGCAGAGGTTGCAGTGAGCCAAGATCAGGCCATTGCACTCCAGCCTGGGCAACAGGAGTGAAACTCCATCTCAAAAAAAAAAAAAAAAATTCTTTACAGTCAAATTCCAAGTAATATTTCAGTAACTTAAAATGCAACTGTATGGGGAAAGTGTGCAGCTGTTAGGATGCAATATATTTATAAATACTGACAACTAAGAAGCTTCCAGAAAGTATAATTCTATTTATATTACGAAAACACAATTTACATCTATGCATGTATATTACTCTCCCTATGTAAATAGACAGTAAATTTTCTGGGAAGATTTCATACCAGAGAAACTAGGATATTGCTGAGAAGAAAATTGGAGACAAGGAGAAGGAAACATTCACCTTTTATCTGATTTTTTAAAAATAGTTTTAGCCTCAACAAAAAAAAAAATGTTATTTTTTGGTTTGAGGTTGTTTTCTCAAACTTTAATTCTTAAAGCTTCATTTTCCATTGTAGGTAGTCTCAAAAACTTAACCACAACACATTTAATATTTTTGTACACTTTTGGAAAGACAACTTATTCCAGAAAATATCAAAAGATCA
Source organism: Homo sapiens (assembly GCF_000001405.40). Classification (NCBI taxonomy): domain Eukaryota; kingdom Metazoa; phylum Chordata; class Mammalia; order Primates; family Hominidae; genus Homo; species Homo sapiens. Next base: position 14,759,510 of record NC_000008.11, read on the forward strand.
TTAAAAGTTCACAGAATGCTTTTCTACATGACATGGAGTAAACAGTCTCTAATGATTTCTTGGTTAGATACGCTATTAAGATTCATAGAGAGTCTATTACTGGACTTGATTACCTTTTGTATCATACTGACAGATCTACAGCTGCCATGACAGTATTTCAGCTCACAGGTACCCATGGCCAATTAGTCCCTTATGAATTGGACCAGAGTTAGCCAGTTGTGACAGCTTTGGAAGTGTGTTCAGCTCTCCTTGATAAAGGACACCACAATATTTAAACTCGTATTAGTGAGTGTCTGTGATGGTGCCTTCACACAACTAGATCAGGGCTACTTTAAAAGGAGGAAAGATTAAAACTTCACCATGTGGCCCAGGTTCCAGGATCAACAGAACACTGCCATTACTAAAACTTGGCTCTGGGACAAATTTCTTTTTTATTTAAAAACTTGAAATTGTAAAGATTTTTCTAAGGAAAACATTTAGCTATTGAGTGGTGTTTTAAAAGTTAATAACAGAGTGTTAGGTCTATTCTAAATGCACAATTCCTCTAACTAACCCACCACCCGCCCCATGATGAGCACTGCTCTCAAATTGAGCACGGGTTCCACAGTTATGCGTTTCAACATTTCATACTTAATTATGTAAATAAATGACTATGCCCGGAAATAATTATATCACCTGTGATTCTTTCTAGTTTTACCAAATAGCCAAAGCCCAATGAAAACAAGGTAATCCCTTCGTAGCCTTTAACAACCACTAAGTAAATGAAGAAGAAAATCATTACACAACACCGTTTTATAAATAATTCATGGATGCTATCAGTTAACAATCCGATGGAAGAACTGCCATTTGATGAGGACTTGTGGGAATTTAAATTGTTGCTAATCAATGAAAATCATAAAAGTATCCACCCTCTTTGTACAGCCAGATTGGGGGAAAATATATATCTTTAAATTCGTTTGTCTGCCTTAATAAACCAATATATTGGAATTTAAATATTACTTAACAAAAAATGTATGCATGTATTTTATAACCATGTAAAATACGGCATGTAACCCTCATTTAACTTTTGCAGTGTACAACTGGCAACTTATTTTTACAGTTTAAAGTGAATCATTAAAAATTTACCTCTGCAGCTAATTCAAATTTCAATAAAATCTTGACAACTCTCCTATATTCTGTGAAAAGAACACTGGATAAATATCCTCTAAAAATACATAGCAAGCTAACAGTTATTCAGTCTATTTCTTCACAGAAATTATCTCTAATGTTGCAATATCTGGGCCCTACTTATACTAAAAAGTTTATTTGTTGTTCATTTGAAATTCTAAATTAATTGAGGGCCCTGTTTCCTTTTTCATGTGTGTGAAATATAGTAGTCTGAATCATCTCAGTTAACTGGCAAAGGTCTCAGAAGCTCAAGGTATATTTGGGTGAATGTGGGTTCAAAGTTTTGTTAAACTGTTGGATGTCAGATGTAGGTCAGAAGAAGCGGTGGTGGGGATTTCGAAGATAAGTTGCAACACAATCCAATCATGAATATAAAGCTATTATTTTCACAGAGTAATGCCCTAATCATCAAGTTTTATCCATTAATGTAATTAGTATAATTAAAGATAATTATTCTGTCACAGTGCTTTCACGGTCTTCGCTAATTCAAATATATAATTGCATTAATTTTGGTCAGATGGAAAACGAGGATTGAAAAATTCACAATAAATTCCTCTAACAAAGCACATTTCTGAAAAGTACATATGTGAGATCCTTAAATATTATATTAAAATGTTCCCAGTTGATATGTCATATTGATATTCAAAATAATGCTGAGCTACTCGCTAAGGATACTACAATATTTACTAAACTCTAGAAAACAAACTTTATTTTCTTGGAAAACAAAACAATGGAAAACAAAGCAGTCTTCCTCAAACCAATGGAAAACTCCTGTGTCTCATTTTGATCTACCTGTAGACTCTCAAGATTAATTGTACATGTTTCTATTATTATTATTATTATTTTATTTATTTATTTATTTATTTTTTTTTTGAGAGGGAGTCTCTCCCTGTCGCCCAGACTGGAGTGCAGCAGCGTGGCTCACTGCCACCTCCTCCTCTTACCTCCCGGATTCGAACAATTCAGCTTCAGGAGATTAGCTGGGATTACCGGTATGCGCCGCCACACCTGGCTAATTTTTGTATTTTTAGTAGAGACAGAGTTTCACCATGTTGGCCAGTATAGTACAAACTCCTGAACTCAAGTGATCCACCCACTTCGGCCTCCAAAACTGCTGGGATTACAGGTGTGAAGGTGTGAGCCATCACATCCGGCCCTGAATTGCAGATGTTTCTAATCTAGATAAGTTTTGAACTCCCAAGGGCTAGAATTTCCATCAGTAGATTGTCCTGAGGAAACCACCTTTCCAAGTGCGTAGAGTCAGAACTGCACCAATTTCTCTAACATATGAGTCTCATGCTAACACAGGGTTCAGTAAACTGAACTACACAATGGAAAGTTTTTCTCAGGTGACAGTAGGTGTTGTGAATGAATAGCAAATTGAGACAGATGCCACATTGACATGGAACTCTGAAAGCCCCTTTTTTTCCAAAATGGAAGCGTTCTATCTACTTCTAATAGAGATTGCATGAACATTTATACATACTGAATATTCATTTCTTTTGAGTATTGAAAAATAGCTGGGATTAAATCCTGTGAGTGAAATTTAACTATGGGATATGGAGTCATGAATAAATCTCCATGAACCTCAAATCTCCATGGACCTCAAAACAGTAAAATCTACAGAGTAGTCCATTACAAAATGAGACAGAAAGGACATAGGATCACATCCTTATACTGCCACTTACTAGTAGTGTACTTTGGCAAATCATTCAATCTCACTAAGCCTCAGCTTCCTCATATGTGAAATGGAAATAATAATTCCCACTTTACAGGTTTGCTGTGAGGTAAAGGGGTTAATTTATGTGAAGTAATTAGCACAGCGCCCAACATATAGTAAGTACTGAATGAATAGGGAGGTTTATTACACAAAATTGCTGAGAGCTTTGTTAATTGAAAACAAATGAAATCAAATTCTATAACTAGCTCTTGGTCTCATCATAAATTCAAAGCAAAATGACAACATGAAAAAAATCTTCAGGAAATTTCTATCCTATGATTTGTTGAACTTTATCTTTTTTCTGTCTTCTACAGTGTATATGTTTATTTGCTGGACAAACAAGCATTCAGTTCACGTTGATCTTTTTATAAATAATGAAATACATGAAGAAGTATTGGGCAAGCAAACATTAGTGGGCTTTGCAAAGAGATATCTCTGTCTTCAAATGATCAGTTAGTATAACAAGATAGAAAGAGCATAGGGTTTGGAGTTAGATAATTTTACATTTAAATTTCATCTTTGGCATTATTAGTTGTATGAACTTAGAAAATTTGCTGAATCAGTCTGAACTTCAGCACCCTGACTTATAAAGCAGAATTAACATCTAAGTTGTAGCTTAGTACATAAATATCATACGTCCAACACAATAAGAATTAAAAATAAAAACAACAATCAATATTTTTAAAAATTTGTTTGTTGCTGGTGTTTCCTAAGTTCTTTAAAATGTGTTGTATATGTCTGGTTGCCCTCTATAGTCAGATACTGGTTAAAATAGTCTCAGAGACTGGCCTGTCAAGTTCTTAGGAAATCCCTGAGATTTCCCTTTCTAGGAGCGTCTTATATTATTGCAAGCTTGTGAGATACTGTTCATTGCAGCCACACTTTACACCAAAAAGCAGTTCAGTGTTTTTTCATTTTAATACGGTGGACAAAGCCCATTCTCCAGGATTACTGAAACAAGCCACAGAGTCCAAAATCTCTCACATCTGCTCACTTACAAGCATAATTTAATCCATTGTCTCTTCTTCAAACTCCATCTCTGCGCCCTACAACTGTTGTTATCTTAGCATGTCTCTTTATCCAGGTAGCCAAGCACTGGATGTTTCTTAGCTCTTTGAGTATCTGCATAGGAGACACTTTATTATCGAAAGTGTCTTTATTATTCAAAAAATTTTGAAAAATAATCTCGAACTCCAGTTAAACTTGGAAAAGTTTACGTAATGATCATGTAAGTCTACAAAACATTAGTGAGCCCCTGGAGATATGATAATACCATAGAGGAGGTAGGAAGAAAACCCAATGATGGCTTAATATCTATCTACAATAAGTAACAGTTTAACCATGAAAGAGTTACTTGTTAATATCATATAGCCTTAGTTCTACATAGCCTCTGCAAAGAAGTCTTCAACTATATTGAAGATATTTTGTATATTATAAGTGAATAAGGACACAGATAGTTAGGAACTATGAGTTTCTCTATGGGAGCAAAAAGACACACCTACTGGATGGAGGAAACGAGAAGGAACTGTGTGATGTTGGATTTGACTTGCGGTAATCAAGTAGTTATGGGTACACCTGGTGTTCAGATGGGAGTTTCTAAATGCTATTCCCTATCAAGTTCCTTGGAGAAATGGCTGATGCCATGTCTGGCAGGGAAAGTATAAGAACAGCATTTTATTTTGTCAGGAAAAAAGGAAATGCTTCAAGACTAATGGGAACATATCAAAAAGGACAAAGGAGCCACTTCAAAGAGTTTGTCCTAGACAAAGAGACTGAGATTTTTGTAAAAAAGCACTTATTCACAGAAATATGTCAGATAATGAATGTAGATATGTTAGAACTTTTAAAATCACCCTTTGGAAAGCCCCAATTAACTCAGACAAAAACCCTAATAGATTGATGCAAGAAAGGACTGATACACGATCTTAAAGCATTGTTCTAGAAATTACTTCTGAATTGCAAAAGGCAATGCATATCCTTACAATAAAAGAAACTAATGGTCAAGGTGTTAATTATGTGATCACACATGGCTTCTTCAATAACAGAATAAACTGACATAATGTCTCTTGAAGTGATGCAAAGCTAAGTGTAAACCATCACCTACACAGTATTCTTGCCAAAAGGATTCTACCATAGATCTACACCTGCAGAAACCATAACCTATATACAAACGTGAGATATTTTACAAGGTAATTGGTTTTGTCTCATCAAAAATGTCAGTGTTATGAGAGACAATTGTGGTCAGGGTTGGAGGGGTCATCGCTCTAGATTAAAGGAGATTAAAGACAAATAAATGAAATTCTTGTACCTTGATTAGATCCTGGACCAAATCAAGAAGAATTAAAAACAATTAGAAAAACTTAAATATGGTCTAAAAATTAAATAATATTGAGGCAATGCTACATATTGTTGAATAATGAACATGCTTCTGATATGTAGAAGAGTATTATTTTTCTTAAGAAATACACATTAAAATATTTATAAAGAGTCATAATGTTTACATCTTACTTTTAAATGGTTGAACAACAGCAAATGAGTCCAAATGTTAACAACTGGTAAAGGGTGACTGTTGTACTATTCTTTTAACTTTCGTAGAGCTTTAAATTATTTTCAAAACAAGATGGAAATGAAAGTTATATGTAAAATGCCTAGAAATAGGCATATGTGCCAAGTACCTAAGAGTTCACTTCTGATACTGTGGCCCAGAGCTCACAGTTTCCAACATGCTCCTGTGACAGCCACACCCACAATCCCGGGAAAGCTGTGCCCTCAACTTATTTTAAAGACCTGGACTTGATTCCCTTAATCCCTCTCCAGTTATTTAATGGAGCAATAACCATCCTAGACTCATAAAAGAAGCTGAAATATATTTAATAACCTTTTCAATGATAGAACTACAAAACAAACAGAATAACATTTTCCATCAAAGTGATCACATTTTAAATTACTGTCAAGGGGTCAGCTTAAGTTATATAAAGTATTAATATATATAAAACATCTTATTTTCTCATATGCTATAGAGATGAGGCCTAGACAGACTCATAACTGGAGGCCTGAAACATAATTTAATTCTATTGCTATGAAACTAAATAAATTCTCCTCTCTATCCGTTCATATACAAATGCACTGTTTCCTGGCAGAGTATCCCTCAGAATGGATAGGCAGATAAGCAAACAGGATGAATATATTAGCCTTCCATATATCCTACAGGGAAGGCTGGTGTGCAACAATAAAGATACACATAAAACTATTAAGCAAGAAACATAAAATTACAATTATTTAAATAGCTTCAGTAAACAAGTGCATTTTATGGCATGACAAACGCTAACAGAAATGACAAGTATGGGGAGAAGGCCATGGTAAAGATCACTCATCAAATGCGTGTGCGCAGACACAGTAAAAATCCCAACTATCACACAGCCTGCAAAAAAGTTAAATCGTAGTAAAAAAATAAAACACAAACATTTAAATGAAGCATTCAATCTTGGAGGAGAGAGGTTGCCAGGCACATCATCACTGTCATTACCACATTTACCAGTTATTTATGGAACAACTCTTGCATATGATAGTCTTTTTTTTTTTTTTTTTAACAGAGGCTGACTGTCGACCAGGCTGGAGTACAGTGGCATGATCTCGGCTCACTGCAACCTCCACCTCCCGGGTTCAAGCAATTCTCCTGCCTCAGCCTCCTAAGCAACAGGGATTACAGGTATGTGCCACCACACCCAACTTTTTAATATTTTTAGTAGAGACGGGTTTCACCATGTTGGCCAGGCTGGCCTTGAAGTCCTGACCTCAGGTGATCCGCCCGCCTCGACTTCCCAAAGTGCTGTGATTACAGGCATGAGGCATGGCCCCCAGCCAGATAGGCATATTTTTAAGGAAATGCTATTAAATATGCAAAAATAAAAATATATATATTATAAGGTTGACTTGGGGTATAGTTTAGCCAGATTGTATATAATTCTGGAGAAATGTAACTCAAAAGAATTTGTTTACTTATTGGATCTTGTTCTAAATGATGAACGTCTTAAAGATAGGATTATATCTTCAAGATAATATGTTTCTAACAAAATTGCTGACTTACACAAACTCAACAGATGTTTGTTTAATCAAAAAGACAATAATACTTAATCCATTTTTAGTTTTATTACTTTTAAAAATATATATATTTTTTCTTCTTTAGACAGTGTTTCATTCTGTCACCCAGGCTGGAGTGCAGTACTGCGATCTCGGCTCACTGCAATTTCCACCTCCCAGGCTCAAGCGATTCTTTCACCGCAGCCTCCCAAGTAGCTGGGACCACAGGCACCTGTCACCATGTCCAGCTATTTTTTTTTTTTTTTTTTTTTTGTATTTTTGGGAGAGATGGGGTTTTGCCACGTTGCCCAGGCTGGTCTCCATCTACTGAGCTCAAACAGTCTGCCCGCCTCGGCCTCCCAAAGTGCTGGGATTACAGGCATGAGCCACTGTGCCTGGCCTGATTTACTTTTAATAGAATTTTTATTAAACTCAGACTGTCTTAATATCAAAGCAAGATGTACAGAGAAGCCTAATAGAAACTAAATGTTTTGAAAAACATATAAATTCTTCAGAAACTAAATTTGCAAACATCCCATGCTTAACAGTTAGATGTCTACACAATTATATAAATTTTATCATCTGGTGTTTTATTTTTACATATTCTCTTAATCATCCTTCATAATACTTTGGAGCTTGTCAATATTCAGAATCGGGGCTAGGCTTGCTTTGCCCAATGTGATGATGAGATGTGGCAGAAATGACATGGCACAAGGTCTATCTCCTAGGCCTCCAAGGCCTTGCAGTAGCCTACTTTTCCCCCTCACAATTCCCCTGAAGCCACATAAGGAAGCCCAGAGTAGGTGACTGAATCACAGGAGAGTGTTTTTCTTTATACATATTTGGCTTAGTTGTAGACTAAAGTAAGTTTAGATAATAAGGAGGCTGTTGTTTATCAATCTCAAAAGTGTTTTTAGTAGACCCAGGAAAACAGAAATCTATCATTACTGGAGCATGAACATCATATTTTCTCAATTTTACAATCAATTTTACTCTAGCATTTTGGGGGAAGAAAGTTAATAATTTAACCAGTAAGACCAAGGAATGTGATGAGGAATGCAGATTGTAATGAGCTGCCTAGTTGCAGTGAGATGAAGATAAATCTTCCTCTCTGCTTTCTAGCAGAAATTTTGGTGAACCATTCTCTTTATTTCAAACGAAATTTTATTCGGAATCTTAATATAGCAGTTATTCATAATGGAAATTCTAGAGTCACAAGAGAGCAAAGACAGTGCCAACAGGTGGTCCTGCCATGACTTACTACCATAGGCTATTTCTGAGACACCTCTGTACGCCTTTCAAATTCTGTGTAAAGCACTGTGAAAACCACTAAAGACTTCTTAAGGGCAGAGACTCAATTTAATTCATATTTAGATTCTTCCTCACTGCTGAAATAGGGCCATGTATTACATAGACCCTTGGTTTGCTATCTGTTAAGGGAATAAATGAACAACAAAAATAGATAGCAACAGAATCTTGAGTAAGAAAATCCAAATAGTGGGATCCCAGTCCTCCATGTAATATGCCGAGTAGCCTTCTCACACATCTTGTTGTTTTTAAATTTTGTGTTTCCAGAAAATAGGATTTTAGTCCAATGCATAGTGCACTCTATTAAGCCCTAAAACCTAAAATGCCAAAAAGAATATGCAGAGAAAGAGAAAATATGTTTAACTCTGCCTACTTATGTATTACAAGCATTCATGGTATCTGTGTGACATTTCTGACTTTATAAAATCCTTTAACATATAGTCTCCTAACATTCTCTAAAAGAAAACATTGAATTAAGAAGAGGCTGTGTTCTTCCATTGACTGAGCTATTCAACGGAATTTATTTAGATACTTTATAAAGTGCAGTACTTCTTTTTGTACAACTGAGTTTCCATGTTGCGTCCTATAGTGATAATGAACTGAAACAGTTTTTCATTTCCATTGCTTTACCTTAACACTGAAGAATGACTTAAGCACTGTGGGGAATAACAATAGAACAAAGATTTTACAAATTTACTTAAAATATTTCTCCAAACATAAAATGCTATTTTCATTATTTAAGGGCAAATTTGGATGAAAGGAGTAATAATAACTGAAAGTTAAAATTATGTCTTTTTTGTCCATGGCCTCATGGGCCTGCATCCCTTCCCCATCAGGATCCAGAACTAAGCTGCACGTAGTCACCATTTCTCACTAAACACACATCCTCCTCACTTCAAGAGATGCGGGAGTATGATTCACTAATTTTGTAATATGCTCTCACAGAACACTTACAGATGGAGGAAGGGAAGAGGACTGCACTCATCATTCAGAAAGCTGTCATATGAAACGAGTCTCTGCTTGTCCCATTTTAACCACTGTTCATGGTACCCAGTAAGTCAGTCACTGACAAAGGGTTCATTTAAGAGACAGAACAAAGCCAAAATATTCCTCACAAATCAGACGAATATCCAGAAATGGAACTGGCAGCATTATAGATCTTAAATCCTGATCATTATTGTATTCATATATCCATATGTAGATACGGGCTGAAATGTTTAAGATGGTTGAACACTCTCTGATACACACACACACACAAACACACACCCGTCATCTGGTAGGTAGAAAAAAGGCAATAAGAAAATAATGAAAATAAATCCGCCGAATAAAACTAATTCCTAATAAGGAATGAAGCATAGCAGAAAAACCTTTAGGGAGCGAGGGAAAAACAGATGGAGAAAGACAAATAATGATGGTAATGATAATGACAATGATGTGAATAAAAAATAATGAGAATAATAATGAATGTTCCTGTGTATATTTTATCCAAGGAATTCACAAGGGGCTTATCATGTGAAAAACCCTTTCTGCAAATAAACAATTTATTATGGGGGAAAAATTTGTTCATAATGGTAAGCACCACTTATAGAACAGAATAATGAGGACAGAACTTTTTTTAAAAAAGTTCAAAGACCAACATGAGATGTTAAATTTGAAAGCAAAATCTAATTTTATGTATCAGTGCTCATAAAAGGAAGGAGTGGTCTTTTAAAACACTTCAATGGCAGCCAGGCGCGATGGCTCACGCCTGTAATCCCAGCACTTTGGGAAGCTGAGGCAGGTGGATCATCTGAGGTCGGGAGTTCGAGACCAGCCTGGCCAGCATGGCGAAACCCAGTCTCTACTAAAAATACAAAAATTAGCTGGGCATGGTGGCATGAGCCTGTAATCCCAGCTACTCAGGAGGCTGAGTCAGGAGAATCATCACTTAAACCTGGGAGGCAGAGGTTGCAGTGAGCCAAGATCGTGCCATTGCACTCCATCCTGGGCGACAAGAGCAAAACACCATTAAAAAAAAAAAAAAAAAAAAAACCCAGCAACAAAATACTTCAATGGCTCCACTTCTTGCTGGAAAAAAAAAATAGAATTTATTTCTACAAGGTGCAACTCGATTGGACTCTATCAGCGGGTATGCTGCAGGCATAAAGATGCAACTCAGTTGGCCTCTATCAGCCAGTACAGTATAGGCATATACCACCACTCGTGGTTCCTGAATATACCATGCTCCCTTGTGTCTTCATAACTTTGCATTGTGCACCAATTTGTTTTTTCATTTTTAATGCCCCAATTTGTTTTTTCAAAATGAGGATAATAGTATAATAATATTTTTATAATACAATAATAATTATATCTATTATATACATAATATATTTAACAGATATTCACGTAATTGTTTTTGAGATATTCATTACATAAGATTGTTTAAATACATCACGATGCTAATCTAGATTTGACGAGTTCTAGCAGACTAGTAGTGCCAAGACAGACCCATCTGAAAAATTATATGAAGCAAATTTTTACCTTCAATTTGCTAATACAGAAACTGATAACATAATAGTTCGTCAAGCAATATTATTTTGTGTGTTGAATAAATAGTTTTAAAATGTAATTATTTTCTATTCTTTCCCCAGAGGTCAGTATATTATTTGGGGGTGGGGGTAAGGAGAGGGAGGTAAACTCATGTATGATTGCCATAAGGAAACTGAAATATTATAAACTATATTAAATATTATAAAGTATATATATGGTTTATGTTCTCACATAAAATATCTTAAATATTATAAAGTATACATATATGGTGTTTTTATGTTCTCACAATTTGTTTGGGTAAGCACAGATTTCACTTGTGTGCACAGATGTCCATTATGTATTTACTCATTCAGTAAACTTTTATTGAACCTGTATAGTATGCCATAAAGTGCTGTTGAAATGAAGAATAAGACATAGTATCTGCCACCAAAAGTTCATAACCCTGTGATTGAGACAAACACATAAACTAATGATATTAATGAAATGCAAAAAGTGCTCTCTTAAAGGCACAAATAAATAAGTACATGCCTGATGTATCCAGGGAATCAAGGCAAGGCATCAAAACAGAATTTAAAAAAACAATAAATATGCTGTCAATTGAATGAAGCCTTGAAAAATAAATAGAATTTGCCTGACAGATGAAGTTTCCAGGAAGAAAAATAGCTTTTACATAAACACAAGTACACTTCAATAGCTTGGCTTTTTCAGGCAAAGCAAATGAACAAAAAACAGAGAGAAAAGGTCAAGAAAACTCTGAAAGTTAGAGTTGCTGATCATGGAATATATGGTGTAGTGTAAGGATTTGGGTAAATAAGGATCATACTAGAGTTTTTAGATGGGGACAGAACTAACTACCCAAGGCAAAGGGTCAGTGCAATGGAAATATTGAACTATTTATTGATAGTGATCACCAAAATTAAGTGTGTGTTTATATACCTCTGTGTGGGGTCAGAGGAGAGAGGGAAAGAAATAAACAAATATTGGATTGTTTCTTTTAAAACTCAGATCTAAGAGTAATGGATTAAAATCACATAGGATATTTGAAAATTAAGCTTGGCACATTTATTTTTAGGGAGTGTATTGAGCTTCACATGGCTAAAAACATCTCCCTTAACTGTACTTTCAATTACAGAAAGAAAATATTTGATTTTTTGTTTTACTTGAATTACCATATCAGTTTTTCAGTTTTCCATATCACATTGACTATGTCAACTTAATCTAGGTTATTTTTTAACTTCTGTAGAACATAAACAATTGATTTGCTATTGGTATATATATTTAAAATAATGCATTGTACAACATAATTAGGTAACAATATATCATTTAAACTTTCATTCATCAAGAAGTCTCAATTTGTTTGCAATCAAATACATTTGGGAAGCAGTGGAATGTTCTCTTCACGAAGATAAGATCAAGAAAATTATGTTTCACATTCCATTTATTTTGGGGGGTAAGACTGTCAGTATTTCAACCCAAAGATACATTAATGATAAATAATTTGCATTGAATACTAAATAGTGAAAAGATATTTCTTCATGAAAATTCCCATGTAATTTGAATCAATATATTTCAATTTCAATAAAAATGTTTTTATAATTGGGAATGTTTTAACATCTTATATATGATATCTATTTGATTTCATATATAGTCAGTCCCAAATTTACAATGGTTCAACTTGATGATTTTTCAACTTTACAATGGGGTGAAAGTGATACGTGTTCAGTAGAAACTGTACTTTGAGCATCCATAGAACCATTCTGTTTTTCACTTTCAATATAGTATTCAATAAGTTACCTGAAACATTCAACACTTTAAATAAAATAAGCTTTGTGTTAGATGGTTTTGCCCAACTGTAGGCTAATGTAAGTGTTCGGAACACATTTAAGGTAGGCTAGGCCAAGCTAAAATGTTTGAGATGTATAATGAGATGTATTAAATGCATTTAAACTTAGTATATTTTCAACTCATAATGGGTTTATAGTGACATAAACCCATCCTAAGGTGAAGAGCAACTAGAATAAACTATAAGCATTACTTTAAAAGTTTGTATGAAATATAAATATTTTCATCCATGTTCCCTAATAAAAATAACACATATGACTCTTAGTATTTCTTTTTTTTTTCATTATTATACTTTAAGTTTTAGGGTACATGTGCACGATGTGCAGGTTAGTTACATATGTATACATGTGCCATGCTGCTGTGCTGCACCCATTAACTCATCATTTAGCATTAGGTATATCTCCTAATGCTCTCCCTCCCCCCTCCCCCCACCCCACAACAATCCCCAGAGTGTGATGTTCCCCTTCCTGGGTCCATGTGTTCTCACTGTTCAATTCCCACCTATGAGTGAGAACATGCGGTGTTTGGTTTTTTGTTCTTGCAATGTTTACTGAGAATGATGATTTCCAATTTCATCCATGTCCCTACAAAGGACATGAACTCATCATTTTTTGTGGCTGCATAGTATTCCATGGTGTATATGTGCCACATTTCCTTAATCCAGTCTATCATTGTTGGACATTTGGGTTGGTTCCAAGTCTTTGCTGTTGTGAATAGTGCCACAATAAACATACCTGTGCATGTGTCTTTATAGCAGCATGATTTATAGTCCTTTGGGTATATACCCAGTAATGGGATGGCTGGGTCAAATGGCATCTCTAGTTCTAGATCCCTGAGAAATTGCCACACTGACTTCCACAATGGTTGAACTAGCTTACAGTCCCACCAACAGTGTAAAAGTGTTCCTATTTCTCCACATCCTCTCCAGCACCTGTTGTTTCCTGACTTTTTAATGATCACCATTCTAACTGGTGTGAGATGGTATCTCATTGTGGTTTTGATTTGCATTTCTCTGATGGCCAGGGATGATGAGCATTTTTTCATGTGTCTTTTGGCTGCATAAATGTCTTCTTTTGAGAAGTGTCTGTTCATATCTTTCAAAGAACATAATGGACTTTTCAACGTGCCTTTAATTTTTCTTGGGCACTAAATTCTTGTACATTTCCCTTCATAAGTTCTCAAATGTAATATTGATTCATATCTGACCACTACAACCCAGTTATGAGAGCAAAACAAACAAAAGAAAACAAGAAAGTGCCTTTGTTCCTGGTCGTGGGTTTTCCAACAAGATTATTAATACCATTACGTATCCAGATGGGGAAAGCTGAGCCATATGATCAACATTTCAAACTCTTCTGGCTGCCTACTTTCTCCCATTCTGGGGACAGAGTTCACATTCTTAGATAGTTTTATGCCCTTCTGCTGTGACACAGTAATTCTTTAGAAGAAAAACAGTGATAAAAATCAAATTACTTCTCCTCTTCCTCTATATTGCCAACACTGCAATGCATTCTTTTGCCTCAGAGCAAAGGGAGAAGATTAACATGCATCATACAGAGCTGTCTGGCTGATATGGTGAGGGGCCTCCTTCTATCTGTAAGGCAAAGTCAGCAGAGACTCTTAACCAAGGATGAAGGAAAACACTCCACACCCAATTGCCTCAATTCCTCTGAAAACTAGAACCAAGGCAAGAAGGGAAGTGGTAGACCTATGACTGGAGAACAGTAGGATTTAATATAATGTTTTTAAATTTTATTTTTTCACAGGCAATTATTTTTTATCTGGTCATAGAATAGCCAGAAGTTTTCAAATAAGAAAATGACTAATCAATAAAGCAAGGGGAGTGACAACTTGGTTGGACCACTCGGCTCAGATATGCAGTCAAGCATTATTCCGAGTGTTTTTGCACGGGTGTTTTTCGTTGAGATTAACATTTAAATCACTGGATTTTGAGTAAAGCAGACTGCCCTCCATAATGTGGGTTAGCTTTATACAATTAGTCTAAGGCTTGAATAGAGCAAATGACTGAATTTCCCTGAGCAAGAGAGAACTGTGCAGCCTGAAGGCCTTCAGACATGAACTGCTATATTGTCTCTTCTCTAAGACTCCAGTCTATCAATCCACCTACAGATTTTGGACTTGTTAGTCTCTATAATTGCATCAGCCAATTTCTTAAGTGTCTTTTATACATACTCATCCTATTGATTCTGTTTCTCTGGAAAACTCTAACATACTCCGCAACAGGCTATCATCATGTAGAAGTTAGTTCATGCTTCCTTCAGTTAACGTTTAGGATTGTTCACACCTGTGTCCCCTACCAGATAGTAAATCCAGTGAGATAGAAACCACATGTTGCAGCCCTTATGGCTTCTCCCACATGGTGTGGAAATCAGTCTTTATCAATCCTCATGGTATTAGAACAAAGCTTTAAAAACAAATCTGCATTGAAATGAATAATATGTGATTCTTTCCCCTTCTAAGTCCTCAACAGCCTCATGTGTTTTGGATCACCCTAGCTTTGACTTTGCTCAAAGTATTTAAGAAATCGCTAGCTTGAAATGTGGTTAATTGAACCAATGATCTTCATTAGCACGAAGGCAATATATTCAAACCAACATGAACAAGTATTACTATCCTTTCAAAAGGTTCTCTGTTCTCTTATTATCCTAGCTGTTTTGCTTCCTAATTACTTCGTTAACTAATTTACTACCTATTAAGTACTCATTTAATTACCTTACATGTAGGTACTGGCTATATTAAGGGCCTTTGAAGGTTTTAATCTGACAATCTAAGAAAATTGTCATTGTAGTGACTTTGACTGAAACACCACATAAAGGAAAAAAATGCTTGTATGGAAAATATTCAAGCACATAAACAAATTATTCACAATTATAGTATACTAAATTGTAAAGAAAATTGCACTAATAAAACTAAACAAATGTACAAAAAGGGTGATGGATCTTGGCTAGTTACAACTTCAGCTAGGTCTTATGCCTCTCAAACATTACATTACTGTGTATATGAATCACCTGGAGATTTTGTAATAATACAAATTCTGATTGAGTTGTTTCCAGACCACCCTTTGAGTAGCAAAGGTCTAGAGTGTAGAGCCCAGAACAAAAACCATTCAGTAATCAGCTTCTCCTTCTAAATAGTAATATTGAGCAACTGCAGAGTTCTGGTTTCACACAATTTTATTCATAGGAAAAATTTCCTACTACCTATCACAAAGAATCATTCACTTACCTAATTATTTTCCTACGTCCCCACTCTGTGTATGACAGTATGCTGAGTAGAATATTTGAGTGTGTGTGTGTGTGTGTGTGTGTGTGTGTGTGTGTGTGTACACAGGGGGGAATAGAGATCATGAGGAAAGGTATACAAAATATACTGGTTCCACCTTCATATTATTTATAACGAATTAATAAAAATATTATCAAACAACTTAACCATATAACACAGTACATATGAGGTACATGAGTATATAGAGTTTGGTTACATAGAGAAGTAAGTGTGGTTTGGATTTAATTATATGCAAAATTTCAAGTGAAAAAGATGTGAAGTCATTTTGAAAAGAAAGGAAATAAGGTTAATTTTCAAAAAGGTAAAAATTTTGAAATCAGAATTGGTTATTGAGTTTTATTTGGATTGATATGTAAAAATGGAAGAGCACAGGTGAGTGCAAACAGAACATCTTTAATGTGACACAGAAGACAAGAGAAGTAAATACAATTCCAATATGTAAAACAGATGCCTGTGACTGGGAGGTGGAAGGAAAAGGAAAGTGGACTCTCTTGCATCTGGGCTTTTCCAAGGTAAATAAGCCCATCGTGGAAACACAGAAACGTCATCACATGTACAAACAATATCATTATGAAATGAGTATAGAAACAAAATGAAGACATTCAAAAGTTAAAAAATGGTGATACTGGAAGAGAAAAAAGTGAACTCTTAATTCTTATTTTATAGAATTTAAAATGTGGTGATTTGAAGCGTATTTTATATTTTTAAGTTTGCTCTTTGATATGGTTTGACTGTGTCTCCACCCAAATCTTACTTTGAATTGTAATAATCCCCACATGTCAATGGTGGGGCCACATGGAGAATAAGTGAATCATGGGGGTGGTTTCCCCATACTGTTATTGTGGTAATGAGTAAGCCTCATGAGATCTAATGGTTTTATAAATGCAAGTTCCCCTGCACACACTCTCTTGCCTGCCACCATGTAAGATGGGCCTTTGCTTCCCCTCTGCCTTCACCGTGACTGAGTCCATTAAACCTGTTTCCTTTATAAATTACCCAGTCTCGGATATGTCTTTATTAGCAGTGTGAAATCAGACTAATACACTTTTTTTTCTTTTTCTTTTTTTTTTTTTTTTTTGAGATGGAGTCTCGGTCTGTCGCCCATGCTCACTGCAAGCTCAGCCTCCCGGGTTCAGGCCATTCTCCTGTCTCAGCCTCCCGAGTAGCTGGGACTACAGGCGCCTACCACCACGCCCAGCTAATTTTTTGTATTTTTAGTAGAGGCGGGGTTTCACCGTGTTAGCCAGGATGGTCTCCATCTCCTGACCTTGTGACCCGCCCACCTGGGCCTCCCAAAGTGCTGGGATTACAGGCGTGAGCTATGGCGCCCAGCCCAGACTAATACACTTTTCAAAGAAAAGATCAAAAAGTAGAAATGGTTAAACTCTTCATTGTGTTAAAATACTGAAATAAATTAAATACCAGGTTATAGACTGACCACAGAAATGTTAGAACAATCCCTTGATGTATACCATGGTAAAAGACAATGGAATAAAATACAATTTCCACTTTGTTGAATGGCACCCGAATGTTCAGACAGCATCAGAAAGCCAGATGTAGTCCAGCATGTATTCTATCTGTGAGGAGGAATGTATGAATCCCAAGTGTGGTGACTCTCTGCAGTGAATACAGACTGTTATCAGATTATGTCACTCTGGCTTAAATTTAGTAAATGCTCAAGATGTGGCATTTGAAACATGGACGTTTATCTAAAGTTAATCCATCCTAAGAGAAACTAGGGCATTTCACTAAAACTTTCATCATGACGACTTGAATTAGAACAGTAAAATAAGAAATATGACCTATATTATTCTGAAGCCATAATATATAACCATGTTATAATTACAGATATCATAAACGAGTAATATTAACGACATTTAATTTGTAAAAGAGAAAGCTGAATAAAAAAATACGTCAGTATTTTCTATACACTTCAGGTGGGAAAAGTGATTTTAAATGATTAACGCAAACGAACAAATTACCACAGTTTAAGAATATTAAAATTCGTTTCATTAATATCTTTAGTAGAAATCCAGTTTGCCTTTTCTAGTTGAAGATCCAATCACAGACTGTATATTGCTTTTAGTCTTCATGTATCTTTAATCTCATATGTTTTGAAATGCTTCATTACTGGTTTGATAATTACAATGTGATGCATAAGACATACGCATATCCATGTTCACAGGAAATGTACATTGAAGTATTTAGAGGACATGATGTTTGCAACTTGACTCCAAATGGTTTAGAAAAAAAGTGTTAATGCATGTATGTGGGTATGTGTGTGTATGTGTGAGAGAGAGACAGAGACACAGAAAGAGAGAGATGGAGTAATAGAGAAAATAAAGCCAGTGTGGCAAAATGTTAATTGAATCTGAGTGAAGGATATACAGAAGTTATTTGTACATATCTTACACCTTTTCTTATGTTTGAAATTATTTCCAAAAAAAAAAAAAAAGGAATAAGAACATCATTTAAAGAAAAAAATTGGAGACAGGGTCTTTGTTACTCAGGCTGGAGTGCAGAGGCATGATCTCAGCTCACTGTAACCTTCATCTCCCAGACTTAAGCGATCCTCCCACCTTAGCCTCCCTAGTAGCTGAGAATATAGGCATGCACCATCATGCCTGGCTAATAATTTTTTTTTGTTTTTGTAAAGATGAGGTCTCAACTGATTGTCCCGGCTAGTCTCAAACTACTGGCCTCAAGCGATCCTCCCTCGATCTCCTAAAGGCCTGAAATTACAGGCATGAGCCAGCTAAAAATCTTTATAAATTATATTAGTTAACACAGGCTTTTGGGGCCTTCAGGAGTACAGAATTAAGGTGAAAAACTGTCACCCCAAATCTATATTTCAGAATAGGATTTCTCAAGAGAGGACACTGGTCACTTGAGGACCTAAATGAATTTCAGTGAGTCCATTGTATTCTTAAAATCATATGCATGAATTTGTAAATGAACTTTTTTCCTGGGAAAACAGTCCATAGTTTTCATCAGATGCTCAGACTCTACTGTCCCCAAAAGCATGGGAATTACTGCATTAATTTCTGTTCATCTAAAGACACCTTAAAAAAAAACAGAAAAGACAGTGTATAGTCTAGAAAGAATTTTAAAATGTATGTGGATGACAAGAAACCTATGTTACGGATATATAAAACACACGTGTAAATCAATAAGGAAATGACAATCTAATAGAAAACTGGGCAAAGGACATTAATCAATATTTCAATGACGAGGAAACCCATATGGGCAGTAAACATTGAGAGAGATGTTTTATTTCATGAGTAATCAGAGAAATGCAGATCAAGAACACAGTGAGATATAATTTATGCACATTTGATTGGGATAAAGAAAGAAGATCAACAATCCCAAGTGATGAAGAGGATATGAATTAACAGCACTTTACAGCATTCCTGGAGTGTAAAGTTATATCGCCATTCGTGAAAACACATTAGGAATATCTTATAACATTAAATAGTCTCACACTCCATGACCTAGCATCACATTCCTAGACATATGTGCAAGAGTGATTCTTACATGCATATACAAGGAAATATGTACAATACTATCCACACCAGTACTGTTAACAACAGCAAAAAGCTAAATACAACTCAAGTGCATATTTTCAAGAGAACTGTAATATTCAGCTTCTAACATAGTCCCGTGATCCTTGTCTTTTGGTCTCCATGCCTTTTTTGAGTTCCTCACATATTAAATCATGGTCACCTATATAACCAATAGATTATGGCTGAAGTGATTATATCTGACTTCCCAAACTAAGAAATTAAAAATATCACAACTTTTGGCTTGGTCTCTTGATTAACTTGCACTGCGGCAAATCAGTTGCCATGTTATGAGAACACTCAAGCATTTCCACTGAGAAGCCTGCATGCAGAGAAGTCAATTTTCCAGCACTAATTTATTGGACAGATGAGTATGCCCTTTGAAAGTGCATCCACCAAGGCCGGTCAAGCCTTCAAATGATTGCAATTCAGCTGCCATCCGACCCTAACCTCATGAGAGACCCTGAGCCTAATTTGCTTACTGAGTTGCTTCCAAATTTTTGATCTACAAAAATTGGAAGAAATGATTGCTTTAAGCCACTACGTTTTTATTTGTTAAGCAGAAATAGATATTCAATGAAAAATAAATTATGGTATATAATATAAAATTCAAAATCAACTGAAGTGAAAATATTCTTTAACGTGCATAGGTATTACATAGAACTTTAGAAAGCAATGGGCTGAGCCATACAAAACTAAAGATAGGGTTTAGTTGGTGTGGGTGAAGCAAAAGGGATTCAACAGTAGCAGAGCATATAAATAAATGAAAGTTATTAGCAATGTTCTGATGCTTGCTTTGAGCCATGTTTATAGGTGATCATTTGATTATTAATAATTGCATTTAATTAAATTGTTTAAAGATTACATTTATGTAAATTTGACCAACGTATGATCTAGAGATTAGAAATAATTAAATTATATGGATCTGTGTTCCTCTGAGGGTTTCTCACGGACATATCAGGAGGAAATAAATAATTGTCATTCTACAGTCAGAGTGCCTTTCTAACTTCCCTTAAGATGTACCCTGTTGGAGGCTGACTACTGAAGAAGAGAAAATGAACATAGAAAAATACGGCCGGGCGCAGTGGCTCACGCCTGTAATCCCAGCACTTTGGGAGGCAGAGGCCGGGCGGATCACGAGGTCAGGAGATCCAGACCATCCTGGATAACACGGTGAAACCCCGTCCCTACTAAAAATACAAAAAAATTAGCCTGGTGTGGTGGCGGGCACCTGTAGTCCCAGCTACTCGGGAGGCTGAGGCAGGAGAATAGCACGAACCCGGGGGGCAGAGCTTGCAGTGAGCTGAGATTGCGCCATTGCACTCCAGCCTGGGCCACAGAGTGAGACTCCATCTCAAAAAAAAAAAAAAAAGAAAAGAAAAGAAAACAAAAATACAACCACTTAGTTTCTCTGAAATATAGACATATTGAACCTAAAGAATTTCATATAGCCTATCATGTGTCATCTATTGTTAATCCTTCCCTTGTATCTACTAGGTCATGTAACAAAGAGGGCAGACACTTTCAGGAGAACGATGGGAAGGAATGAAAAAAATACTGAAGTTTTCCTGGAGAAACAGGTAGAATAAAGTGTATGGGATTCCCAGGATTAACCTCTAAGAAGGGAGCTGATCATAAAACCTCAACTAAATTCAGATTTAAGCTATTAAAAAAAATTTGAATATAGAACAACAGGACTGATTTTGTTTTTTAACATGGGTAACCTTAATTTCAATGCCCTTAATATTTTTATCCACTCTGTTTTCTTAGTGAAATTAGAAGCATTTCTTTTTTAAATTACTTCCAGAGGAATGATTTTTTCTTTTGGAATTGAAGAAATCTACAGCACACTTGGAAAAAGAAACACTTAAAAAAAGCAAATTTTCAAAGTTAAAGAAAATGAGTAAGCAAAATTTCTGTTGCCAAAGATACAGAGAATAAAAGAAACCAGGTTGTTGTCTTGATACCAAGACCTAAAATATTTAGTTTAAACTAGCAGACTTTTGTCATCATTCTATAAATATTTAGTATGGAATTAAGTTAGTGTATATGCCTGAGGGATGCAGTCAGCATTCTGACTCAGTATTACCATCATATTACGTACTAATTAGAAACATGGCTTATTGAATTTACTGCCTCTTTTTTCTAAGCAGTTCTACCCCCAAAGAAATTCAAAACACAAACAGACATCACTCCTTTTTAAAAATATAATTACTGTTTTTTTCTTCTTTGAGACAAGGTCTCATTGTGTCACCCAGGCTAGAGTGCAATGGCGCCATCTTGGCTCACTGAAACGTCAGCCTCCCAGGTTCTAGCGATTCTTTCTCTGCCTCCGGAGGAGCTGGAGTTACAGGCATGTGACATCAAACTCAGGTAATTTTTGTATTTTTAGTAGAGATGGGTTTTTGCCATGTTAACCAGGCTGGTCTCAAACCCCTGGACTCAAGCAATCTGCCCATCTCGGCCTCCCAAAGTGCTGGCATTTACAGCCTGAGCCACCACGCCCAGACTAAAAATATGTTTGATTTTCATCCTTTCAAAACTTATTACCAATGAATACCTATTATTAAAAATTGTTTGGGTTATTCTTATCCATTCATTTCTAATAACATAATATATATAGCAACTAGTTGCTACATATAGACGTTCCTCAACTTGTGATGGAGTTACATCTAATAAATCTCATAAATTGAAAATATCAATTTAAAAATTTGCTTAATAGACCTAAATTATGGAGCATCAAATCACTGCCTAGCCTACCTTAAATATGCCTACAACACTTACATTAACCTATAGTTGGGCAAAATCATTGAACAAAAGGACTACTTAATAATAAAGTGTAAAATATCTCATGTAATTTATTGAATGCTCTACTGAAAGTGAAAAACAGAATAGTTGTATGGGTATTAAAAGTATGGTTTCTATTGACTATGTATTACTTTTGCAACATCATAAAGTCAAAAACTTGTAAATTGAACCATCCTGAGTTATGGACTCTCTGTACTTGACTAGTTGCTGAGAAATTTGGGTGACAAACTTGTACAATGTCCTTTTGATACCGATGTATTTAGCAAATCACTTCACCCATTTGAGCCCAATTTCCTTGTCTATAAAATGAAAAAATTGGATAAACGACTACTGGGACTGCTGTCAGAAACAAACTTTTGAAATCTATAATCTATGCTAAAACTTATTAAGCACTTCCTTAATATAAAGTAATATGCTGAGATTATTTGAGTAAAAACTCTGTCATTTTAAGGAAGAAAATCAGATTTCAATACAGTGTACTTTGTGTGCAGTAAAAGCAAATTCCTGACACTCATCTCCCCAGGAACCTGCTGAATCATAATGTAAGCTTCTGTTTTGTTTTGTCTTGTTTTGTTTTTCTTTTTGTTCATGTATCTGTGTGTTTGGTTTTGGTTTAGTATCCATCTAACTTCTAATGTTTCTTTCCTCTGCAGTTCAGAATACAAAACTCAAAGAAAAAGACAACTCACAAAATAGTCAAAGCATTTTGCAGATACAAACGAATTAACCATCTGGAACCACCTAAACAAGACTCATTTCAATACTGACAATCTGCTATAAACATGAATAAACAATCCAGTTGTGACTCAGATTGAGGGAAGATAAGGGTTTTAGATGAATTATTGAGATGGTTATAGAAAAAAAATTATTAGCAGATGCAATAACCACAGAAACAAACAAGGAACCTTATACTCCAAGGATACTACCCATGAATCCTACCCTATTCTCACTAGTGGTTATCAATTTAATATGATGCATTTCACAGACACAGGCATATTGCAGATCTCAGAGTTATGCCATTAATCAAATCATGCATATGCTTCAACAGCCAAATGGTATCTCATCTAATCTAGAAATAAGATGTGCTGAATCTTTTTTTTATTACATGCTGTTTGGATACATATAATGCAGGCAATAGATTAATGGATATTATAAACTTAAATATTCTGCAGAATAATTTATGTATTTACTTGGAGTTGTATTATTTTAAATTCAAATGTTTTACAAATTTATTCTTTACCCATGAGATTTGGGGGCTTCTAATCATAGAAAATTGCAAATAAAATAAATTAGGGAATTCCAAGAGATAGAAAGTAAAAGTATATGGCCGGGCACGGTGGCTCACGCATGTAATACCAACACTTTGGGAGGCCGAGGTGGGCGGATCACTTGAGGTCAGGAGTTCAAGACAAGCCTGGTCAACATGGCGAAAGCCAGTATCTACTGAAGATACAAAAATTAACTGGGCATGGTGCTGAGTGCCTGTAATCCCAGCTACTCTGGAAGCTGAGGAAGCAGAATCACTTGAACCCGGTAGGTGGAAGTTGCAGTGAGCTGAGATAGCACCACTGCACTCCAGCCTGGGAGACAGAAAGAGATTTTGTCTCAAAAAAAAAAAAGAAGGAAAGAAAAGGAAAAAAAAAGTAGTAGAAGTATAGCACAGAAGAAAAACAAAAGCACAAACTAAAATCACTTCTTTTCAGCTTTTCTGACAATGAAAACAAAAATTTAAAATAACTATAACATAATAATTTTTTTTTCCTTCAGATTCTGACAACCAATTCCTGCTGGTTTCCTTTGTGAGCTAAAAGATATTTAAAACACGTTAGTGGATTTTTCCAATGCCATGACTAAATTTCAGTGATCAGTTTAAGGGTTTTTGCTGTTGTTGTTTGTTTTTCTATCTGGGATAATAAAGCTTTTAGTCATTTGGAAATAACTGGCAATCTGAAAGTTTTTTTAATTTCCTGTTTTATTTAATTTCCCAAAGTTTATTCAAAAATCATTTATGTTGCTCACTATGGAATGCTAAAAAATTCAGAACAAAGATAAGTGGAAAGTTTCACAAGTTTAGTTTTAAATTTAGTTTGTAATAAATTGAAGTTTTTGAAGAATCATTCTTGTTCTTCAGATTTAGTGGTCAATTTCACATATGAGAGTTCTTAAAATAATTGTACCCTTTAAATAATTCTAACCTTTAAATTTCAGATTGTAATTTAATTTAATGTTTTTTTTTTTTTTTGAGATAGGGTCGCTCTCTGGCTTCCAGGCCAGAGTGTAGTTGTACAATCATGGTTCACAGTACACTTGACCTCGCAGGCTCAATATATCCTCTTCTCTCAGCCTCCCTAGTAGCAGGGAACACAGGCACATGCCACCGAGCCTGGCTAATTTTTTTTTATTTTTGTAGAGACAAGGTCTCAATATGTTGCCCAGGCTGGTCTTGAACTCCTGGGTTTATGTGATCTTCCCACTTTGGCCTCCCAAATTTCTGGGATTACAGACGTAAGCCACCATGACTGGCCCCTTTTCAATTATGTATATATATGCATCTTATACATTGATTTCATGTCACATATATCAGAAAAAAAATGTCAGCTATATCAGGGTTTTTGTCATACTTAAAAAATAGTATCAAATTTGGGTAAAATAGATCTGGATCAGCTATAACTCATAATGGTCTCTGAGTGATGAACTGGTAGTACCATTACTAATTAAGAAGAGTTTTCTTCAGATCTGCCATATGAAACTCCTTAGACAAGGAGAATGATAAGATGCATGTAGATAATTGCTTTATTTAGATCATGCTTGTAATCTAAGCACTTTGGGAGGCCAAGGCAGGCAGATCATCTGAGGTCAGGAGTTCAAGACCAGCCTGACTAACGTGGAGAAACCCCGTCTCTACTAAAAATACAAAAATACAAAATTAGGCGGGCATGGTGGCGTATGCCTGTAATCCCAGCTACTCAGGAGGCTGAGGCAGGAGAATCACTTGAACCTGGGAGGCAGAGGTTGTGGTGAGCCGAGATCATGCCATTGCACTCCAACTTGGGTAACAAGAGTGAAACTCTGCCTCAAAAAAAAAAAATATATATATATATATATATAAAATATATATATTTTTTATATTATATATATATAATATATATATTTTTTATATATTATATATATATAGCTTTATTTAGAAGCAGAAAATCTGATCAAGAAAAAGGATTTGTATTAGCATTTTAAGCCAAATGACAAAAAGAAAATTAGTAATAAATACTACAAAGTCATTGTTTTTAGTGATTTTTCCATATCATTTTGCCAGAGATTAAATAAAATGATAATCCCAGTGTTTTATGTTTACTTGATTGCTATCTGGAAATTGTTATAAAGTTCACAAGTATATACTCTTTGATACAATATTTCTACTATCAGAAATTTATCCAATAAAAGTTATTTCAAAAAGAACCAGACAAAAAGTTGTCCTTTCTCAACTGAGATCTGGATTTCAATGCCTAGCTAAAGAATGTGAAATATTAAAAATAAAACACAGATGGAAACCCAAGTTTGCAAGGAAACTCTGAAATCTGTATCCATATATATTTTTTTAATTTCACATACATAACGATACCAAAATTTAAAATGCATGGTATAACATTAAATTAGTCTCAGTGACTATCGAAAAATACCCAATAGTCAATATAGTTGCTCTTGAAACTTCCCTAATGCTTCAGTGAGTTTGTCGCAGGTAATACTAAGGTGGTTCCCATGTCCTGACCCCAGCATGTGGATCTTTAACCAAAAGCTTGACAATGTTCTGACCATTTTTGCAGTACCATAACTTTAAAGATTTGAGTTTAATTTAAGCTATTTATACTACAGACCATTTGTTATTTTCTGATACGTCCACTTACTTTATCCCAAATAAACAAATTCACACGGGCTTTAACTTGTTACTCTTTTTGTACATTTCAGCTTTATTCCTAAGCAGGCGTAGGATTGTGGTTCTCATATTCATTTTTACTTTCACAGAGTTTCTTACTTTCTCCCAAGGCTAATTGTGGAAACTTCTATCCCTGCTGTGCCACTTGCTTTTGGTTTTTTTTTTCTACTCCCAGAATCCAGTTCTCATTTAAAAAACTTATCTCCAAAAAAAGTGACTCACAATTTGCAGATACTATGAAAACGAAAGAAAATTTCTGTTTAGAGATATATCCCCTTTATTTTTAAGACTTTATTGTCCTAATTTCTGAAATTATCAAGTAAGTGGTATACTGAAAAAAATGAGATTATTATTTTAACTTCTCAAATTTTTCTTATTCCATAGTATCTAAGCCTGTCACTACAGAAGAAAACATTAGTTCTCGTTTTGTCTTTCAAACTTGTCTTTGACGAGTTTTATCAGACAGTGGTCTTTGGTCAGAATCATTTGTAACATTTCATTAAACATTTTAAATACAAATGAGCATTTACAAACCATCAATAGAGCATTGAAAGACAAATACATAAGTTCCCTAAAGTTTACTCTGAGGAATTAGTATGTCCTGTATAATGAGCCCAACAATATATTTGAATAAATAAAGATTTATTTATGAAATGAAAGGATTATGAAATTTCCATGAAACTTGGAAAAATGACCATATTTTATCATGGTTCAGTTTTATGTACCATGATACAACGTACATGAGAATGGTACTATATAGTGGAATGTAGCACTTTTCAATACTAACCAATTATTTGAGTGCTGTTTTCCCTTTCAACTGAAACAGCTAAGCTATCTTAAGCCATTCACTGTCTCAGAAAAGAGATGCTGAAGCCTCCCTTAAATAAATACACATATAAACAAATATATAAACAAACAGAAAGTCTATGGAGTTTAATTGGAGTTTATTTTTAGAATTACAAATATCTAAAGGGAATCATGAAATTACAATGAATATGTCATAAATTAGAAGCAAAATATCCAAACCAGAGAGGAGCTAAAGATCCCATGTTTTACAAGGAGTGGAAGAGTTGGAAAGCAGGTTTAAAAAAAAAAAACAAAAAACACATAGATTAAGTAAGTCTTAGATAAAGACAGCCCCCATACAACCATGCTGTATGATAAATTAGAGGAGGGGAAAGGGTAGAAAATAGATGTACCTGGATACCTGGTAGGTTGAAAATTAGAGCACCAGGGACTCTTCCTAAACTCTTTCCTACAAGCTCACTGTGAATCAGGAGCAGTAACATCATAATCTTGGGACTGGGAATAGCATGAAAATAGATGGTTCATTAACAGCTCACCTAATTTTATGTGGAGCCATATGACACAGAAGCAACAGAAAGATCCCCATGTGCAGAACTGAGAGAAATCCAAGACTTAAAATCCCCATCTGCAGGGGCTGTTACAACAAAACAGAAGAAGCCGAAGACTTCGGGGGAAATGTCAGCACAAGACAATGAAATTCAGGTGTATCCTCCCAATAAGTAATAACTTAGAGTTGTGCAAACCTCCCAAACTTATATATGGGAGGCTAGCGGGAATCTGGTGCTTTATTTATTTCTTGTAGAAGGAAGAAATACTTAATATACTTGGTAAAATATACTTATGGTATATTATTAGTAATAATATACTAATAAGAAATATAATTAGAAATAGTAAAATAAAAAGTTGTAAACTTTACAAAGTGCAAGATAATTAGTTCAGTGGAATCACTCTTTAAAAACAGTAGTAACTGAGTTTTATCCTAATTAAGAAGGAATATTCCAGCCGGGCGGGATACAGGTTCACCCCTGTAATCCCAGCACTTTGGGGGACCAAAGTGGGCGGATCACCTGAGGTTGGGAGTTTGAGACCAGCCTGACCAACATGGAGAAACCCCATCTCTACTAAAATTACAAAATTAGCCAGGAATGGTGGCACACGCCTGTGATCCCAGCTACTTGGGAGACAGAGGCAGGAGAATCGCTTGAACTCGGGATGCGGAGATTGCGGTGACCTAAGATCTCATCACTGCACTCCAGCCTGGACAACAACAGTGAAACTCCATTTCAAAAAAAAAAGGAATATTCCTATTCTGTATAAGAGGAATAACATAGCCAAATGTTTCAGTATCAAAGATAACTATGATTGAGGCCTGTTCAGGCAATCCCTAGTTGCCATTTAGTTAAAATATATTAAATATATCAGATGACCACGATAATCAGTCTTCTAGACAAGCTCTTCATTTTTTATTCCAAAAATGTTGCTAGATTCTGGAAAAAGATGCATCATATTTACCAAAAGGAAAGTTACTGTGAGTGGTAGAAAGCATTTTGTGATATCATTACCTAAATAACGGATATATTTTTAGTCAAAATTTCTTTCTTTTTCCTTTCCCTGGGGATAAAGGACTAAGTCTTCTATCTGTCAAGGTCTCTAGAATAAAGCACATAATGCAGTAATATAGGGTGTCTGTTCCATGCTAATTTCATTATTATTTCCAGAAACATAGACAGTGTGGAAAGGGCACTGAACAATGTGTGTTGGAAAGGGAACCTTGGGCGATTAATTTCTCTAAGTGTTGGCTTCCTCATTAGCCAATTAGGAGGAAGAAAATGTTCCCTATTACCCTCAGAAATGTCTGTGGAAATCAAATGACACAAAAAGTGGAAGATACTTTGTTAACCGTGAAATTTTGTTGGGGCAGCTATTGTTCCTACCATAATTCTTCTGGGGACAGTAGCTTAACTTTTTAACTTCTAAGATTCTTCATTTAAATCATGGAACATCAGTAATAATAATAATACCAATCTCACATAGTGGTAGAAAAGTTAAAGAGGCAATACGTGTATATGCATAGTAAATGTTAGGTATTATTTTTTAAATAAATACATCCACTCTTTTTGTTACCAACAATTATGTTCTATGAAATTGTCATGAACAAGCATTAGCAAATACCGAACCATTGCTCCTGCAAGAAATAAAGCGCTAGCTTCCTGCCAGCCTCCCGTTAAAACATTTTTGTGAACTGATCAATATAAAGACTTGTTTTAGACCAGGCACAGTGGCTCACACCTGTAACCCCAGTGCTTTGGGTAGCCAAGGTAGGAAGATTGCTCGGGGCCAGGAGTTTGACACCAGCCTGGGCAATATAGCTAGACTCTGTCTCTATAAAAAACTAAATAATAATAATAATAAATTAAATGCTTGTTTTATATGTCCTTCTGTTCGAAAACACCTTATTTAATACATATTTTTGGACTCGTTAACATTGGAATCACAGCCAACAACCCTGCGCCTCATTTCTGAACACAGCTTATCTAACACATGCACTCTCTTCATAAGGTACATCACACTCCTGTTGTGTTTACAAACACTGGGCACTATGCACGATGCTTGGGGGCCATTTTAAACAGTGAAGTCATCCACCAGGAGCACAAGATGCAAAAAAAGTGTGATACTAAATATACCATGAAAAAATGTACTTGTTTACAGTATGTAAACTGAAACAAGGTAGAATGTCTGCCTCATTCAACCTCATCTGGGAATATGCACATCAGATAATTACAACATTTTAATATTAATACTCTACACAGGCACATGTCTACAAATGACTGTAATGGATCCCCAAGTATTGATCTTTGTGTTTCAAATAAATTTCAGCAAGTAAGCAAATTCACAACCACAAGAATTCATGAATAATGAAGATCAACTGTGTTAGTTTCATGATATAATTTCCAAAATATATGAGTTTACAATTTTAGTATCTAAAACTTACAAGGCTCTTCATGCTTTAGACCTTTCATTCTTTCTCCTTTCTTGTGGAGTCATGATTCTCTCCCTATTCAAGTGAGCCATCTTCCTCTCTGACCCAGGACCTTTGTACATGCAGCTTGTACTTCCTGGAACAATCCTACTGTCTTTCATTACTAACTTCTTTCTCTAGATCTCATCATGAGCATCTCTGCTTCTTTTATTGTTCTGACTAGACCAGTTAGTCCAACTATTTTTGTACTCTCAGTACAAAATAAGTGGTATAAACTTATACCACTTACCACAGTAAAATTTTACATTTACTTCCATGTATGTGTATTCCATTAATTTTCGCTTCTTCAATAAAATTTCAGGCCCATGAAAACAGAGAATGTTTTCAATTTTTCTCCCATTATAACGTATGTTTGGTGTTACATAAATGTACATTGATTAAATGTAAATTCATGTAAATAACATATAAATAATAAATGTAAATTGAATACTTAAATCTTCAGTGGTCATATCAAATGCCTTAGAAAAAAATACTGTCAATTTATTTACATAATCAAGACAGCATTCTGCCCATTGAATGCATGTATGTGTTCATTAGAAATAGGAAATGTGAAAGACGACTTTCTGAGGGCCAGTGCTTTCAAAGTGGTTTCAAGTCTGTCCTTAAATATATCATTTACACGACATAGATACCAAAGACCAAAAAGTAATTCCACTAAAAAGCATTGAACTTTCTTGTAATCAAATATACGTAAATTAAAATTGCAAAAACAGTTATTTTGTAACATATAATTAAAAATAATGACAGCAATAATCTTGTCAATGAAACTGTGATGAAATAGCATTCTCACATATGACTGATGCAAATGTACACTGTATTTCAGTTGGAATAAAATTTGGCAATATGTATCAAACGCATAAAAAATGTTTATAATCTAACCCAATATTCTATTTTTAGGTTGGAAAATAGTCCAAAACATTTGTTAACAAAGAGAGTATTTATAGAATGAATGATTCTATAATAACTAAGTAACTACATATAAATAACTAAGAATTAAAGGTAAGAAACAAACATAATATCCAATAATACGGAGATAGTTAAGTAATAAGATTGATTCCAGTAGACAAACTGGAAGAATAATTGAAAACAAAGATCATAACTACACTAACACTGGAAATTGATTATGCCGCAGCAGAAAATAGTATACAGCCAGGAACGTTGGCTATCGCCTATAATCCCAGCACTTAGGGAGGTCAAGGTGGGTGGATTACCTGAGGTCAGGAGTTGGAGACCAACCTGGCCAACATGGTGAAACTCGGTCTCTACTAAAAATACAAAAATTTGCGCAGGGTGGTGGTGCGCATCTGTAATCCTACCCACTCGAGTGGTTAAGGCAGGAGGATCTCTTGAACACGGGAGGCAAAGGTTGCAGTGAGCCAAGATCACACCACTGTCCTCAAGCCTGGGCAACAGAGTGAGACTCTGTCTCAAAAAAAAAAGAAAAAAAAAAGAAAAATAGGATACAATGCCATATACAATATGATCATTATTGCTATTATAACAAAAATCTCTGAGTGATAGAGGTTTTTTATTTTAATATTCTATACTTCCTATAATGTACATGTTAATATTTTAACTAGAAAAATAATTATTTTTCCAAAATCTAACTCTAATACCACATCCTTTAAATTGTACATTACTTCTTTTAGTTTGCCAGAGACTGCTTTTCTTTCAAGAGTGTGAGATCGAATTTATTCTGACATTGAGCACATATGCATCCCGTTTGCATTGGATGGCACTAGGAGGCTCCATTCACCTCACCATTGTGGGAGTGCGCCTCTAGGAGTTATCCTGAGAAGCAAGTGGTCAGCAGCTAACTGGTATGCTGAACAAATCTAGCTCACACAGAAAATAAAAGAAAAAAAAAAAATCCTATTTTTCCTTTAACCACCTAAAATCCACATCCCCTGTAGTTATCTATTTAAAACCATTCACCTAATAGAAGTTTCTAGAGCTGACAAAATCATCAGTCACCCACTCCCAAACCCATCCCCAATTTTTACATTACAATATAACCAAGCGTACAGCTCAAGGCAAACTTTCTGTTTAAATAAAGCTACACACAAGTGGCAGCCTCTGCTGTTCACAGCAACCCAGGAGAATATTATGTGCATTATTGCTCTGTAGTTCTGATCCAACCTTCAGTAATCCCCATGAAGCAAGAGCTATAGGTTCCAATGAGCAGTTCTGAATCATCAGTAAATTAAACCTCCTCAGGACATTCTGTTTTAAAAATTAGGCAATAATAAACCCATGGTCTGCTTTGCGTTAAAATGATACAGATGGGTTACCTAAATCAATTCTAGCCGCACTTTCTCAATGCAAAGCACAGCTTCAAGCTCTTTATTTTGTAAAAGAGAAGTAAAATTATAGAATGTAAATAATGATGTAATCCACTTGAAAAAATCATAAGGCCGTCTAGCATGTTCTCAGTAGTGTGATTAAAAACAGTTGCCAATAAACAGGAAACACTGCATTAAGCCAAAATTTGACAGATTCTGTTTTTTCACCTATGGTCTTAAAAATAGCAACAATGCATAGAAAGGTGTGATAAATACACTTTTCATAGTTTAGTGCTACATTACCCATGAAGTGTCACAATATATAACATAAAGTTTTACGGTTATAACATATGTGATTATAAACATACATTTTTTCTTAATGATTAAGATGATTTCAGAATCTCTATAGACACACTAATCAATATAGGTTACAACATCTCTTTTGTGTTTCCACATATCGCTCAGGCTGTTAACTCTTTATCAAGTCCCCTTTTGTAGAAAAGAACTGGGTGTATTAAGTCTCTCTTTAGAAACATCAACTCTCTATTCAACTCTTTCCATTCATGCTTCTATCCTCTCCACTATGCTAGTCAAGGGTCACAATAATCTTCAAATTGTAAAATCCAATAATCACTTGTGCCATCATTTTACTTGGCATTTTAGCATCTTTCTTTTTTTATTTTATTTTATATTATTATTATACTTTAAGTTTTAGGGTACATGTGCACAATGTGCAGGTTTGTTGCATATGTATACATATGCCATGTTGGTGTGCTGCACCCATTAACTCATCGTTTAGCATTAGGTATATGTCCTAATGCATCTTTCAACAGAATCAATACCCCCTTTCTCTTTAAGCACCTAAAGGTCCAGGGTTTTCTTTTTCTCTCACTGACCACTTTTCCATACCCTTCTGTTGCTTCTCATCCTCTTCTTTGCCCCTAAAGATTGGAGTGTATAGGGCCTTGCTCCCAGCCTTCTCTTCGATAGACTCTCCTCCTAGGTATCAAGAAGCTTCATGGTTTTAAATACTATTGGCATGCTGATGACACTAAATTTATATTTCTAACTCAGATCTCTCAGTCTTGAACTTCTGACACTTACATTTATTTGACAATGCTATTTGAATATTGACAAGAATTACAATATAAAAGATACTAAATACAATATGTGATCTATCTCCACCATGTTCCTATTTGATTTCTTCCTATTTTAGGAAAACTATACTCACACAGTCAGATATTTAAAACTCTAGTCTCTCTTTCCTTCCCAATATTTGTCACATGAAATTATGTCCAAAATGTAGCTGAAAATACCCACTTTGCTTCATTTTCACTGTCTACCGCTTTGCTCAAGGCTTTGCCCTTTTTTGCACTGACTGCTAAAACAGCCTTGTAACAGATGTCCCTGCTTCCATTCCTGCCTTTTATAATCCAATTTTCACATCATGATCAATGTTAATTTATGAAAATGCAACCCTTGAGCTACTGCACTAAGATGGCACGTAGCACAGATACTATTAATTTTGCTTTCTTTCAGAAAAACGCAAAAGCTATGGCAAATAAACAATAAAAAATTATCCAGCCACAAATATCAGAGAAAATGAGAGGAGACATAGCAATACATTTCTGGAAACTCAAAAGGTGGTAGATAGAATGCTTGACAAAGCTGCTTCCTTAACTGGCAGTAGGGAAAGCTGAGGAATAACCCAATGCACAGGGCAAATTCCTCAAAATGTCTGAGATTTGTACACCCAGGAACTTTAGGAATTTGGGGTAAAGGGGATTGCAAATGGGTAGGCATGGGTGAAACTGTTTGAGAAGCAGTTAGAATATGAGACACCTGCACCCACCTGCCTCACCATCCCCCACCTACCCTGCCCAGGCCACTGGTTGTCTACTTCTCTTTCACCTTGGCAGAAGTCTAGAGATTTTCTATTTGAAAGAAGCTGAAATAGAGGATCTTGGAACCTGGAATATCATATCAATACATGAGAAATGATGAATATATGCTTAAGAAATGCAAAATTCTAAAACTCTCAGTCTGGTTCTCCCACTTGGCTTCTAGTACTATACCAGCCAGATTATATCCTCCAAAAGAAGAAACCAAAAAACTGGAATACTGTACTTTGGAGAATATGATGTCCTAATAAAGAAGAACTTAAAGATATAGAAACCACTGTTCCTCATTAAGAAGCCTACAAAGATCATCTTCAAGGAAGTTCAAAAATCAATATATTCAACTCCTATAATTTGAGCTTTATACCAGCTACAGTCTTCTACTCAGTCACGATTAGACACCAATAAAAAATTATCCAAACCAAAGTCTCTGATGTGGAAGGTAAAAAATAATATGCACAAAGCTAACCAAAGAAAACAGTAAATAGTAGGATGCAATAGAGAAGATTCAGGAAAAAGAACATTTCTTTAAAAATTCAGTCATGAATATCAAGAGAAAAAGAGAGAGATGAGAAAATATACTGCAGGATTATATAAAAGAAAAGACAAAAAGAGCTGTTAGAAACTCAAAATATTTTTCTGAAACTTAAAGCTCAATAGAATTCGACAGAATGAATGAAAGGTAAATTAAGAAAATTCCCCAGAATATTCCCAGAATGTACAACAAATATCTGCAAAGAAATGTAATATATGAGAAAAGACTGTACAAAATAAGAGAACCAGCTCAGGAAGTGCAACATTCATATAAAAGTATTTCCATTAAGAAAGAAGTTAGAAAATAAAAATAGCATCATCAGAATGTTTTGTAAAATTTCCCAAGACTGAAAGGTATAGGGTCCAGACTGAAAAGTTCCAACGCAAAGGATGAAAATAGGCTCACGAAAAGACATAGCATTGGGAATTTTCAGAACTTGGTTATAAAGAGATTATGAATGTACCATAGAGGGACAAATCTGATCATATTCAAAGAGTCAGCATTGAAATGCCCTCAGATTTCTGAACAGGAACACTACAGCATCTCTACTATTGAGTCAAGAAATGCCTTTAAAAAATCTAAAGAAAAATAACTGTCAATGAAGAACAGTATGTCCAGATAAATTATCAGCAGAGTTAAGGAGCACAATAACATCACTTTCAGACAAATAACTTTTCCGGTATCTCTTCAGATGCCCTTGATTCAGATCAAATGGAGGATATGGTTTACAAAGATGAGAAAATAAACCAAGCAAGAGTTCCCTAGATAAAGGAAACAGAAGACCCAACACAGAATAAAGGTAAGTAGGAGGGTTTAAAATCAAAATGGATGATTGAATGGTTAATTAAAATATTGTTTAACATAGGATACATGTGAAAGATATATTTGTTCCTTAGACAATTATTGACTAAAGCATACATATGTATATTCACACTAAATTTTATTTAGATGCATAAATTAGGATTTACTTAACATAGAAGAAAATGGTTGTAAGCCCAGGTAATATTTCTTGCATAGATGACACCCATAATTCACTTATAATGTATGACTTCAATTTCTTCTGAGGGAGAAAATACACTTATCACCTGAGTAAATATATTCATACTTTGGGGTTTTTTTTTCATTTGTTTGTTTTTGTTTCTTTTTGAGACAGGTTCTTGCTGTCACCCATGCTGGAGTACAGTGGTGAAGTCATACCTTACTGCAGCCTCCACCTCCTAGACACAAGGAAGCGTTCCACCTCAGCCTCCCATGTAACTAGCACATGCCATCACATCCTGCTATTTTTTGCGTGCAAATTAAGCCCTCATATTAAAATGCAAAACAAACTGGTACAGACTTCTTTATTGTTTATTTTTTTAAACTTTCATTTCAAGTTCAGGGGTACAAGTGCATATTAATTACATAGGTAAACTTGTCTCATGGAGGTTTGTTGTACAGATTATTTTATCACCCAGGTTTTAAGCCTAGTACCCATTAGTTATTTTTCCTGATCCTCTTCCTCCTCCCACCCTCCACCCTCCGAAAGATCCCAGTGTGTGTTGTTCCCCTCTATGTGTCCATATGTTCTCATTATTTAGTTCCCACTTACAAGTGAGAACATGTAGTATTTGGTTTTCTGTTCCTGTGTTAGTTTTCTAAGGATAATGGCCTCCAGCTCCATCCTTGTCCCTGCAAAGGACAAGATCTTGTTCTTTTTATGGCTGCACAGTATTCCATGGTGTGTATGTACCACATTTTCTTTATCCAGTCTATCACTGATGGGCATTTAGGTTGATTCCTTGTCTTTGCTATTGTGAATAGTTCTGCAATGAGCATATCTGTGCATGGGTCTTTATAATAGAAGGGTTTATATTCATTTGGGTATACACTCAGTAAAGGAATTGCTGGATTGAATGTTATTTCTGTCATTACATCTTTGAGAAATCACTCCACAATCTTCCAGAATGGCTGAACTAATGCCTGCTGTTTTACTTTTTATTTTATTGAGAGACAGAATCTATGTTGTCCAGGCTGGTATTGGAACTCCTGGCCTCAAGTGATCATTCCACCTTGGCGTCTCAAGTTGCTGGTATTACAGGTGTGAGCCAGCATACTCATTCTATTTTTGTTTTTTTTCTAATATTATATATTTGTGTCACAAGGTCACTTATTTGAGTATTTTCTTTATGAACACTTTTGAAACATTAACTTTCATTAAAAAATTAACATCTTTTCTGTATATGTAAATATTGTGTGTCTTATGACTCAATGAAGATAACATGTACATTAGAAGAAATCATTCGGAATCTGGTACCTTAAACCACTCAGCCCTCCTGACACTCTCTACTTATTTTGAGAATGAATAAGACTCTTAGTAAACATCAACTCAACTGGGCAGAGGTAACAGATGTCAAAACTGTATTAGCCATGTGTCCCCATCCAAATCTCATCTCAAATTGCAGTTCCTAGAATCCCCACATGTGGTGGTAGGGACCATGTGGGAGGTAACTGAATCATGCGTTGGTTTCGCCCATGCTACTCTCAAGAGGGTGAGTAAGTACCCACAAGATCTGATGGTTTTATAAGGGGATTCCCCCTTCACTCAGCTATCAGTCTCTTTCCTGCCACCCGATGAAGAGGTGACTTCTGCCATGATTGTAAGTTTCCTGATGCCTCCCCAGCCGTGCTGAACCACAAGTCAATTAAACCTCTTTTATTTATAAATTACCCAGTCTCAGGTATTTCTTCATAGCAGCATGAGAGAAGACTAATATGGTAAATTGGTACCAGAAGAGTGGGGTGCTGCTATAAGGATACCTGAAAATGTGGAATTGACTTTGGAACTGGATAACAGGCAGGGGTGGGGACAGTTTGGAGGGCTCAGAAGACAGGAAAATGTGGGAAAGTCTGGGACTTCCTGGAGACTTGGAGGGCTCAGAAGACAGGAAGATTTAGAAAAGTTTGGAACTTCCTAGAGACTTGTTGAATGACTTGGACCAAAATGCTGACAGTGATATGGACAATGAAGCCCAAGCTGAGATGGTCTCAGATGGAGACGAGGAACTTGTTGGTAAATGGAGCAAAGAGGACACTTGTTCTGCTTCAGCAAAGAGACTGGAGGCATTTTGGCCCTATCTTAGAGCTCTGTGTAACACTGAACTTGAGAGAGATTATTTAGGCTATCTGGCAGAAGAAATCTCTAAGTGGCAAAGCATTCAAGAGGATGGCTAGCATAAAGGATGGGAAAATTTACAGCCTGACAAGGCAATAGCAAAGAAAAAACTATTTTCTGGGAGAGAAATTCAAACCTACTGCAGAAATTTGCACAAGTGACAAGGAGCTGAATGTTATTCACCAAGACAATGGGGAGAATGACTCCAAGGCATGTCAGAGACCTTTGTGGCAGCCCCTCCCATCACAGGCCCTGAGGCCTAGGAGGAAATAATGGTTTCCTGGGGTGGGTCCAGGGCCCCCTTGCTGTGTGCAGCCTAGGGATTTGGTGCCCTGCATCCCAGCTGCCCCAGCCATGGCTTAAAGGGGCCAAGGTAAAGCTCAGCCAATGGCTTCGTAGGGTGAAAACCCCAAGCCTTGGCAGTTTACACGTGGTGTTGAGACTGCAGGTACACAGAAGTCAAGAACTGAGATTTGGAAACCTCTACCTGGATTTCAGAGGATGTAGGGAAATACCTGCATGTCTAAGCAGAAGTTTGCTGCAGGGGCGGGGCCCTCATGGAGAACTCCTGCTAGGGCAGTGCAGAAAGGAAATGTTGGGGCCCACTGGAACACAGCACAATTTAAGCATCAAATAAATACTATCCCTGTTTTCAAGATTTCCATGTCATTATTAGTTGGCCATTTTACTTTTAGAAAATGTTATTATGTACAGAAATCGTTTTAAAAACTCCCACCCAGTTGATATAAAAAATCATTGACCCAATGAGGAAAGTATAGAAATCAATGAAGAAAGTATACAAGTCCTTTTTCTAACAGGAATTTGGAAGGCAATAATCCTCTCCCCACGGTTACCACTTCTTTTATTTTACAATTCATCTTCTTGAGTTCTAAAACTATTTATCATAAAGTATGTTACTTACAGGCTTTAATTTTATAGATGCCATTCTCTGGAAGTACACTGGTTTATCAAAGTTATCATTACCTAAATGCAACTTACAGAAGACAGAAAAATAAACTATGTACATGAAGATGGTTATTAACAGCATTGTTTCTGAAAGAAAAAAAGCAAGACTTTGGAAATATTAGTGCCAAACACTTTGGAAATGCTTCAGCACTTTATACTGTACTAACTTGATAAAGTAATCCCACCACTTAAACCATTATTAAGTCTGTTTAACAATAATTTTAAAATACTTACATATTTTAAGTGAAAAAGGAGTATGAAGTAAAATGTACCCTACAATCACATTATTTTCATTTTTATATTAGATTATGTAATTTAAGACAGCATGTACCTAAATAATCTGTTTAAAAAGTCCATTCTATTATAAAACTAAAACTATGTCCATTTTAAATAAGCACTGTTATTAAAGCCACCTGAAATGTGTAGTAAAAATATGGGAATAAAATGCTTTTTAATATGTTACATAATTAATAAAAAATCTTTTTACTAGAGAAAAGTCTCATTTCTGCCTACATATTTTACTTCATATACTGTAAATAAGATTACCATAATACA
Source organism: Homo sapiens (assembly GCF_000001405.40). Classification (NCBI taxonomy): domain Eukaryota; kingdom Metazoa; phylum Chordata; class Mammalia; order Primates; family Hominidae; genus Homo; species Homo sapiens. The sequence continues at coordinate 14,798,992 of NC_000008.11, forward strand.
GTAGTGGATTCTAAAAAAGCAAAAGTATTACTCCATTTTCTTGATCTCAAAAATAGCATTATACAAATTAAAAAATTATTTTTATGTAAATATTAAATTAATTTTTTAACTGTACTTTCAGAAATTAAAAATACATTTTGGAAGAAAACTAATAATGGAAAAAAGATATAACAATAAGACACTTACTTTATAAAGATATTTAGAATCCATTTATTTCTTCATCATAGTAATTTAAAATAATATTTGAGGACTTAACGAGATGACCTTTAGTGATACTGCTAAACTTTTTATTTTTCTATTCTAGTTATATGCTCTTGAGCAAAAAGTTGGATGCATTTTGTAAAAATCAACCCTTTAAATAAAGATTCACTTTAAGAAAAAGGCAAGACAGAATTTGATTTCCAGGAGAACCCCAATTTTCTTTCAGTATCTGATGGAGAGTACATCAGCTACTTGTAACAGAGCCCCAGTGACCTCTGGTGAAAGAAAGATCCAGTATTAACCAGTCTAACCCTGGCATGGTGATTCTGCAAAGTCAGGAGAGACTCAAGACTCTTCCATCCTTTCACTAAACTATCCTTAGCATTTGACCTCTGTACTCAAGTTCCCCTTCTGAACTAAGAAGTGAATTGCAAGTCCACAGGACTTCACCTACTAGGCAGAGGAAGGAGGGAGCGGCAAGGGCAAAATAAAAAAAAATTTTTTTTTTTAAATTTAAAAAGCGTAGAACCCTCCAGCTGAATCTACTCCTTTGAAGCAACCTTCTCTAAAACCTCATGCCCCTTTGCCTACTTCTCGCTGGCCTGCAGTAATTCACATGACCACACCCAAACATAACCTAGCAAATGTAGTCTTATAGCTAAGCATTGGCTTCTTTTACTAGAGAAGAAGAAGAAATGGAGGTTGGATACACAAAAAGCAGTCTCTGCCTTTCGTTGATAAGTATTATAAACAGAGGTATTTTTGTAAAAAGTATTTTCTTAAAACAATTCATAATGTTTAACAAGAAAAAATGTAGATAATTGGTAAACCACTGTTTTGCACAGAGGTTAGCTATTCCAAAACCATTATGTACTCTACCTATAAAGAATATTCTTCAGGATTAAATCTCACCATTGAACCAGCATCTACACTTTTTCAAGATGTTAAGTTGTATATTTTGCCTCCTTTTTTTCATGGCACACTATAAATGTTACCTGGTCATTTGGAAATATGTGATCCTAACACATGTGTTTAGGAAAAATCAGGTACATTAATTTTAAATACCAAAAAGACATAAAAATGTCTATCACTCTAGTGGGTGTGTCTAAAATTTTTTTAATACTTAACCTGTTGTACCTCATACTATAGATAGAGCAAAAAGAGGAATAGGGAAGGGGTTAATCCTGGCCCATAAGTTTATGTAAGGTGCATATGAAAATGGAAAGGAATATTTTTTATTTTGCATCTCTATGAATTTCATTAGCTACTTGATATGGTTTGGCTGCATATCCACCCAAATCTCATCATGAATTGTAATTCACAGGTTTTGGAGGAGGGGCCTGGTGGAAGGTGATTAAGTCATGTGGGTGAACTTCCCCCATGCTGTTTTCCTGATAGAGTTCCCAGGAGATCTGGTTCTTTGAAAAGTCTGTGGTGTTTCCACCTTCTCTCTTTCTCTCCTTCTGCCATGTAAGACGTGCTTTGCTTCCCTTTCCCCTTCTGCCATGATTGTAAGTTTCCTGAGGCCTCCCCAGCCATATGGAGGAGTGAGTCAATTAAACATTTTTTCTTTATAAATTACCCAGTGTCTAGTATGTTTTATAGCAATGTAAGAACAGACTAATACACTATACTACTCAACATTAAAAAATTCAAAATATAGAGGTGGAATGCTAGTCTCACTCATATACCACACAAGCAAACAAAAAACATCAGAAAAAAGATGACAACCATAATGGTTTTATCTTCTGCACATGTTAGTATTTTAAACACCAAAGGATATCAAGAACAAAGGAAACTAGCTCCGAATACCAGGTTAACTTTATAACTATAATTTCAATTATGAGTGTTTCTGAATTATATTGAATGACTGATAAGTTAGAAAGTCTTTGAAGAAAAGTGACCATTCCTTCCAGCCAATCTACAAAAGATCTATGAATACCAAATAACGAAGATCGCATTGGTCATGTATATGTGTGTATGTGTGTTTGTGTTGTGTGTGTATGTGTACACAAACTCAGTGTATTGAAACAGAGAAGATAAACAGAAATTATATGGGTTGGTCATTACATCAGCAAATATATGCATATGCTACTGGCATTTCATTGATATTTGAATATGTAATCTCATTTGCTTTACTAAGGAAATGAATCATTTTTATGAGGAAAAAATCCTATGAAGTATGGTAAGTGATATACTTATTTTAGAATATTTACAAAGCAAATTATAAATTTGGAAGATGGATGTAGCACTATATAATGTAACAATAATTTTCCTATTAAGATTAAAATGCTTAAACTCCTAAATATAAGAAAGTACAGACAGATTATGTTTATTTTCACCTTGTTTACTTCCAGGGAAAGAACAGATCGTAAAGTAAATGGCCAAGGTAAGAACGGACAGAGATCAGGGAAACACCATATAGAATGGCAAAAATAAATGTGAGGAAATTATTATAGACTTGCATTTGGAGTTGGGGGAAAATCAGGCAGAGACTAAAGGATAGAAAACTTGCTAGAAGGATCAAGATCATGTGGTCAACAAATTAAGAAATGACTGAAATGATTCACTGACAAAAAATCAAAATGTTCTGAGGTAAGGAAAAAGAGCACCAAATTTTTATGTGCTTTAAAAATATACAAGAGGATGGTTAGAAAAGCAGACTGAAATATGGGGAAACCTGGCAAGTTTCCTAATGAGAAACTGACAAACTGGAAATCAAATCCCAATCATAGCACATGGAAAGCAGTCCAAATATGAGAGAAGGGATGTTTTCTAGCAAAGCTCAGTCCTGGGCAGGAGCACTTTTAAAATATGGAAAAGAAATTAGGAAAGAGAGTAATGTTGGAAGATGAACAAATCTTCCCTTGAGAGAAAAGAGCATGTTGGAAATGACGGGTTGCGTTAACTATGATTTAGCCAGAAGGTTGAAAATCTTGAGTTGAATTTGACCTCTGTCATCAGCACTCTAGAAAGGCAAGGGGAAAACCTTGGAGTCAGCTACCTACACCCTCCTCCTATCCTTTGCATGGGAATAAGAAAGACAAAAATTTAAACCCTTAATGTGTATTTAGAAGGTGCTTCCCCATGAATAAATCACTAAGCTGCCATGCCTAGGATATGACTAAAAATATAAATAAAACATAAATAAAAATGTGTTCTTAACAAAAGAAAACAGCTGCCTGGATAATTCTAGCATTTTGGTGACATTACACTTTAATTCAACCCTTTAAAAAGTAATTTTAAGCAGTGACACTTCATAAATACCCCCATTCAGGGGATACTCCCATGGAGGAACCATTTTATGAGCCAGTGATTCAAAATCACCATTTAATTAAAATCAGTAATGATCATTTGCTGCCGCCTTTTTTATGAATAAGATGGTCTGCATTTTACACACATACAAACACAGAGAGAGAGAGACAGAGAGAGAAACACACAAATATATATATATTTTCCAAAAATGATTTTCCTCCCCAAAACTAAATATACAAAACATTGCTTATTGAAACTGGTATATATTATGGTGTTTTAGCATGTGTATTGTGGAGCCCTAAGGAGTTAAAAGACAAATTGAAAAATGGGCTTAGATGAGATAAAGAGGAGCGAATGTTCCAAGAAATAGGGTGAACTGCAAATGGCTCATTAACACCAAAGCATCCTGTTACAGGCACTCAACTCACAGCCCACCTGCACTGAAGCTTCCTGTCTGCAAGCATTCAGCTAAAGCAGCAGGACCTTATAAAACTCCTCCTCCAGCCCCATTCTTGTTTGTAGATAGCAGACAGCCTTGACTCTGCTGTCTTGCCCACTGCTCCCTTGGAACGTATTTTTTCTTTAATCAATCTGACCTTTTAAATTTATTCCTGTATTACTAAATTATTTTACCACCCATGGGGCCTCAGGCAGTCACTGACCATGACATATATGTTAAGGGGACTTGTATAACAAATAAAATATTGCATATGAATCATTTATTTTTTAAAAAAGTGAAATAATCACCTTTAAAAGACCAAACTGTCCCGGGAGGAGCCAAGATGGCCGAATAGGAACAGCTCCTGTCTACAGCTCCCAGCGTGAGCGACGCAGAAGACGGGTGATTTCTGCATTTCCATCTGAGGTACCGGATTCATCTCACTAGGGAGTGCCAGACAGTGGGCGCAGGTCAGTGGGTGCGCGCACCATGCGCAAGCCGAAGCAGGGTGAGGCATTGCCTCACTCGGGAATCGCAAGGGGTCAGGGAGTTCCCTTTCCTAGTCAAAGAAAGGGGTGACAGACGGCACCTGGAAAATCGGGTCACTCCCACCCGAATACCGCGCTTTTCCGATGGGCTTAAAAAACGGCGCACCACGAGATTATATCCCGCACCCGGCTCAGAGGGTCTGACGCCCAGGGAGTCTCCCTGATTGCTAGCACAGCAGTCTGAGATCAAACTGCAAGGTGGCAGTGAGGCTGGGGGAGGGGCGCCCGCCATTGCCCAGGCTTGCTTAGGTAAACAAAGCAGCCAGGAAGCTCAAACTGGGTGGAGCCCACCACAGCTCAAGGAGGCCTGCCTGCCTCTGTAGGCTCCACCTCTGGGGGCAGGGCACAGACAAACAAAAAGACAGCAGTAACCTCTGCAGACTTAAATGTCCCTGTCTGACAGCTTTCAAGAGAGCAGTGGTTCTCCCAGCACGCAGCTGGAGATCTGAGAACGGGCAGACTGCCTCCTCAAGTGGGTTGCTGACCCCTGACCCCCGAGCCGCCTAACTGGGAGGCACCCCACAGCATGGGCACACTGACACCTCACACGGCAGGGTATTCCAACAGACCTGCACCTGAGGGTGCTGTTTGTTAGAAGGAAAACTAACAAACAGAAAGGACATCCACACCGAAAACCCATCTGTACATCACCATCATCAAAGACCAAAAGTAGATAAAACCACAAAGATGGGGAAAAAACAGAACAGAAAAACTGGAAACTCTAAAACGCAGAGCGCCTCTCCTCCTCCAAAGGAACGCAGTTCCTCACCAGCAACGGAACAAAGCTGGATGGAGAATGACTTTGACGAGCTGAGAGAAGAAGGCTTCAGATGATCAAATTACTCTGAGCTACGGGAGGACATTCAAACCAAAGGCAAAGAAGTTGAAAACTTTGAAAAAAATTTAGAAGAATGTATAACTAGAATAACCAATACAGAGAAGTGCTTAAAGGAGCTGATGGAGCTGAAAACCAAGGCTCGAGAACTCCGTGAAGAACGCAGAAGCCTCAGGAGCCGATGCGATCAACTGGAAGAAAGGGTATCAGCAGTGGAAGATGAAATGAATGAAATGAAGCGAGAAGGGAAGGTTAGAGAAAAAAGAATAAAAAGAAATGAGCAAAGCCTCCAAGAAATATGGGACTATGTGAAAAGACCAAATCTACGTCTGATTGGTGTACCTGAAAGTGATGCAGAGAATGGAACCAAGTTGGAAAACACTCTACAGGATATTATCCAGGAGAACTTCCCCAATCTAGCAAGGCAGGCCAACGTTCAGATGCAGGAAATACAGAGAACGCCACAAAGATACTCCTCGAGAAGAGCAACTCCAAGACACATAATTGTCAGATTCACCAAAGTTGAAATGAAGGAAAAAATGTTAAGGGCAGCCAGAGAGAAAGGTCGGGTTACCCTCAAAGGGAAGCCCATCAGACTAACAGCGGATCTCTCGGCAGAAACCCTACAAGCCAGAAGAGAGTGGGGGCCAATATTCAACATTCTTAAAGAAAAGAATTTTCAACCCAGAATTTCATATCCAGCCAAACTAAGCTTCATAAGTGAAGGAGAAATAAAATACTTTACAGACAAGCAAATGCTGAGAGATTTTGTCACCACCAGGCCTGCCCTACAAGAGCTCCTGAAGGAAGCGCTAAACATGGAAAGGAACAACCGGTACCAGCTGCTGCAAAATCATGCCAAAATGTAAAGACCATCGAGACTAGGAAGAAACTGCATCAACTAACGAGCAAAATCACCAGCTAACATCATAATGACAGGATCAAATTCACACATAACAATATTAACTTTAAATGTAAATGGACTAAATGCTCCAATTAAAAGACACAGACTGGCAAGTTGGATAAAGAGTCAAGACCCATCAGTGTGCTGTATTCAGGAAACCCATCTCACGTGCAGAGACACACATAGGCTCAAAATAAAAGGATGGAGGAAGATCTACCAAGCAAATGGAAAACAAAAAAAGGCAGGGGTTGCAATCCTAGTCTCTGATAAAACAGACTTTAAACCAACAAAGATCAAAAGAGACAAAGAAGGCCATTACATAATGGTAAAGGGATCAATTCAACAAGAGGAGCTAACCATCCTAAATATATATGCACCCAATACAGGAGCACCCAGATTCATAAAGCACGTCCTGAGTGACCTACAAAGAGACTTAGACTCCCACACATTAATAATGGGAGACTTTAACACCCCACTGTCAACATTAGACAGATCAACGAGACAGAAAGTCACCAAGGATACCCAGGAATTGAACTCAGCTCTGTACCAAGCGGACGTAATAGACATCTACAGAACTCTCCACCCCAAATCAACAGAATATACATTTTTTTCAGCACCACACCACACCTATTCCAAAATTGACCACATAGTTGGAAGTAAACCTCTCCTCAGCAAATGTAAAAGAACAGAAATTATAACAAACTATCTCTCAGACCACAGTGCAATCAAACTAGAACTCAGGATTAAGAATCTCACTCAAAGCCGCTCAACTACATGGAAACTGAACAACCTGCTCCTGAATGACTACTGGGTACATAACGAAATGAAGGCAGAAATAAAGATGTTCTTTGAAACCAACGAGAACAAAGATACAACATACCAGAATCTCTGGGACGCATTCAAAGCAGTGTGTAGAGGGAAATTTATAGCACTAAATGCCCACAAGAGAAAGCAGGAAAGATCCAAAATTGACACCCTAACATCACAATAAAAGGAACTAGAAAAGCAAGAGCAAACACATTCAAAAGCTAGCAGAAGGCAAGAAATAACTAAAATCAGAGCAGAACTGAAGGAAATAGAGACATAAAAAACCCTTCAAAAAATTAATGAATCCAGGAGCTGGTTTTTTGAAAGGATCAACAAAATTGATAGACCACTAGCAAGACTAATAAAGAAAAAAAGAGAGAAGAATCAAATAGACACAATAAAAAATGATAAAGGGGATATCACCACCGATCCCACAGAAATACAAACTACCATCAGAGAATACTACAAACACCTCTACGCAAATAAACTAGAAAATCTAGAAGAAATGGATAAATTCCTCGACACATACACTTTCCCAAGACTAAACCAGGAGGAAGTTGAATCTCTGAATAGACCAATAACAGAATCTGAAAATGTGGCAATAATCAATAGCTTACCAACCAAAAAGAGTCCAGGACCAGATGGATTCACAGCCGAATTCTACCAGAGGTACAAGGAGGAACTGGTACCATTCCTTCTGAAACTATTACAATCAAGAGAAAAAGAGGGACTCCTCCCTAACTCATTTTAGGGAGTTAGCATCATTCTGATACCAAAGCCTGGCAGAGACACAACCAAAAAAGAGAATTTTAGACCAATATCCTTGATGAACATTGATGCAAAAATCCTCAATAAAATACTGGCAAAACGAATCCAGCAGCACATCAAAAAGCTTATCCACCATGATCAAGTGGGCTTCATCCCTGGGATGCAAGGCTGGTTCAATATATGCAAATCAATAAATGTAATCCAGCATATAAACAGAGCCAAAGACAAAAACCACATGATTATCTCAATAGATGCAGAAAAGGCCTTTGACAAAATTCAACAACGCTTCAGGCTAAAAACTCAATAAATTAGGTATTGATGGGACATATTTCAAAATAATAAGAGCTATCTATGACAAACCCACAGCCAATATCATACTGAATGGGCAAAAACTGGAAGCATTCCCTTTGAAAACTGGCACAAGACACGGATGCCCTCTCTCACCACTCCTATTCAACATAGTGTTGGAAGTTCTGGCCAGGGCAATTAGGCAGGAGAAAGAAATAAAGGGTATTCAATTAGGAAAAGAGCAAGTCAAATTGTCCCTGTTTGCAGACGACATGATTGTATATCTAGAAAACCCCATTGTCTCAGCCCAAAATCTCCTTAAGCTGATAAGCAACTTCAGCAAAGTCTCAGGACACAAAATCAATGAGCAAAAATGACAGGCATTCTTATACACCAAGAGCAGACAAACAGAGAGCCAAATCATGAGTGAACTCCCATTCACAATTGCTTCAAAGAGAAGAAAATACCTAGGAATCCAACTTACAAGGGATGTGAAGGACCTCTTCAAGGAGAACTACAAACCACTGCTCAAGGAAATAAAAGAGGATACAAACAAATGGAAGAACATTCCATGCTCAAGGGTAGGAAGAATCAATATCGTGAAAATGGCCATACTGCCCAAGGTAATTTACAGATTCAATGCCATCCCCATCAAGCTACCAATGCCTTTCTTCACAGAATTGGAAAAAACTACTTTAAAGTTCATATGGAACCAAAAAAGAGCCCGCATCACCAAGTCAATCCTAAGCCAAAAGAACAAAGCTGGAGGCATCACACTATCTGACTTCAAACTGTACTACAAGGCTACAGTAACCAAAACAGCATGATACTGGTACCAAAACAGAGATATAGATCAATGGAACAGAACAGAGCCCTCAGAAATAACGCCGCATATCTACAACTATCTGATCTTTGACAAACCTGAGAAAAACAAACCATGGGGAAAGGATTCCCTATTTAATAAATGGTGCTGGGAAAACTGGCTAGCCATATGTAGAAAGCTGAAACTGGATCCCTTCCTTACACCTTATACAAAAATTAATTCAAGATGGATTAAAGACTGAAACGTTAGACCTAAAACCATAAAAACCCTAGAAGATAACCTAGGTAATACCATTCAGGACATAGGCATGGGCAAGGACTTCATGTCTAAAACACCAAAAGCAATGGCAACAAAAGACAAAATTGACAAATGGGATCTAAGTAAACTAAAGAGCTTCTGTACAGCAAAAGAAACTACCATCAGAGTGAACAGGCAACCTACAAAATGGGAGAAAATTTTCGCAACCTACTCATCTGACAAAGGGCTAATATCCAGAATCTACGATGAACTCAAACAAATTTACAAGAAAAAAAACAAACAACCCCATCAAAAAGTGGGCAAAGGACGTGAACAGACACTTCTCAAAAGAAGACATTTATGCAGCCAAAAAACACATGAAAAAATGATCATCACTGGCCATCAGAGAAATGCAAATCAAAACCACAATGAGATACCATCTCACACTAGTTAGAATGGCGATCATTAAAAAGTCAGGAAACAACAGGTGCTGGAGAGGATGTGGAGAAATAGGAACACTTTTACACTGTTGGTGGGACTGCAAACTAATTCAACCATTGTGGAAGTCAGTGTGGCGATTCCTCAGGGATCTAGAACTAGAAATACCATTTGACCCAGCCATCCCATTACTGGGTATATACCCAAAGAACTATAAATCATGCTGCTATAAAGACACATGCACACGTATGTTTATTGTGGCACTATTCACAATAGCAAAGACTTGGAACCAAACCAAATGTCCAACGATGATAGACTGGATTAAGAAAATGTGGCACATATACACCATGGAATACTATGCAGCCATAAAAAATGATGAGTTCATGTCCTTTGTAGGGACATGGATGAAATTGGAAATCATCATTCTCAGTAAACTATCGCAAGAACAAAAAACCAAACACCGCATATTCTCACTCATAGGTGGGAATTGAACAATGAGATCAAATGGACACAGGAAGGGGAACATCACACTCTGGGGACTGTTGTGGGGTGGGTGGAGGGGGGAGGGATAGCATTGGGAGATATACCTAATGCTAGATGACAAGTTAGTGGGTGTAGCACACCAGCGTGGCACATGTATACATATGTAACTAAGCTGCACAATGTGCACATGTACCCTAAAACTTAAAGTATAATAATAAAAGAAGAAAAATAAAAAAATAAAAATAAATAAAAGAGCAAACTGTTTCAAAGGAGAAATGTGTAAGAAAATTTCATCATGAATATAAGATATGCCAGGATCATGATGAAATGAAAAACTTTGTTTTGCTGGCACTAAATGATTGTTTAAACAATGATGAAGACATTGATAGAAGGATATGAAATGGTCTTTGCCTTGTGTTAAAAACACAAAGTGTCCTGAAGACAAATCCAGCAAGAATTTTTTCGGCATAGAAACCACTTGGTATGGTAATAAAAATTACCAATTCTCCATTTTATTTCCTTAATGAAGTTTTGACAATATTTCAATGGTTGCTATCAAATTATAACATTATTTTGAGGTAGAGCACAGTAGAACAAATACTAGACCCTCAATTGTCTATAGCTTAAAGTGAATGGATTTAAGACTATCAAAATTCATGCATCTATAATTTAAATCTGAAAATGGAAATGTACATCCAAAGAAGTGACCGCAGTACCCATGAGGGAGGACTGTGCACTATCTGGGAAAAACTTTCTATGATATTGATAATACAACAGAAAAGTCAACATTAGCAAGATACTGCAAAAGTACTATTAATTCTGATGTTTAAGAACGCAAGCCATAAGAAATGTTTTGATTAGTTAAAAGGCTAAGATTTAAGAAACTATTTACAGCTGATTAGATGGATATTTAGATACTTAGAATCTATTTAACTATATGGTTTTTCCTTATTTTAAGAAACTCAAGCTGGCATATACATTAAACACTTGACATATAAATCAAGAAAAAGTATATCTTTTAGATCTGTTTTTAACATACCACAGACTATTTTAGAAAAAGTGTGAAATTTCAGTGCTGAAGGTAAGGAAGTAATGGCAAAAAAATTTCAGGATTAGAGACTAAAAATGAGCTCTTATTATCATGGCATGTTACATAAAAAAGAAATAACAAGATACTTAATATAATTAGCAGATTGTGAATTTGGTAAGGCAATTTTTTTCTGTTACTGAAAATCAAAAATTCAAGAAGTTTTAGAACTTTAAATCAAATTGTGTTTGTTAGCCTGAAGTAAGGTATTGCTATAGATATTTGAAGCAATGAGAAAGATCATATTCTATTTTCCTAATAGAAAAATTCATATTAACATTTTTTAAGAAATGGTGCAGCAGTGTGTATGCTTTGCTGATTTTTTTAACCAAATACTTCCACTAACACACCATCATACTTAAAAATATAATAATGTATCAGGAATAAGAATGAAGCTCCAAGTTTCAGTACCACAGGCACAAAAAATAAATGTCTGTTTTGAAAGTGTTATTTATTATCAAACAAAAATCCAAGGTATCAAAGGTGTTTTACATTATAAACTTAAACAACATCAGTTCATTGGATATTGCACTGGAGATGGCTACAATCAGCAAGAGAGAGCTAACTGGATACATTATTTTTCAACTTCTGGTTCAGTGACTTCCTGGCAGTAGCTTGAAATCAGCTATACTGATAGTATTTTCACAACAGAAATTGGTAAACACTATAAATTCAGGTTTGTTTATTTACTTGTTTGTTTATTTGAAGAGACTCTTATTAAACATTGACCAACACACCACTGACTATAATACAAAATATTTTAAAAGTATTTTGTGCATAACATAGAGAATAAATCCTCCTTTAAAATGCTATCATCAATCCCCTTCACTTGGAAAACAATTTTAAAAGGATGTCAGTAGTTTATATCATTTGGAATTAAATTTTGATGTACAACATTTTTAGTACATCTTTCCCCCAAATTTCTAGATTAACTGTAGTGTCCTGAAATAGAAGAAAGCTAAGCTTATATAAAAAAAGTTTTTAAAAACTGTCAGGATTTTCTGTAAGAAATATAGAACACAGAAATAAACTGCAATCCAATCTTAATAGAATAACTTCTCTGTTCATCATAAACTTAGATTTCAAATTTGTTGTGTTCATTAAAATGAATTCAGTGTTTCATTTAGTGTCCTTATAATAAATAAATGCTGTGAACTGAAACTTACAATAAAAATTTATTCCAATAAAATTTAACTTACATCAGTTTATACATATCAAAACCCACCTATAAACTTTATTTGAATGATGAGCTGTAGTGCTTTAATAAAGTTAAAAAGCATTGCTCTACTCCACTGGCTTTGTTTATAGATGAAAAATAAAACAGCACAAAAACAAAAACAAAAACAACCTGGAGATCGTCAGAGATACTAAGTGACTTGCCTACCATGAAACATTCGCTGAAAGACACTGCATCTTTTTTTTTTTTTTTTTTTTTTTTTTTTCGGAATCACACTCCACTCCTTATAGTTGTTATGGGAGAGGGCCAGAAAAAGAGAAGGTTTTGTTTGAATAAATCAAATTTTCACATAAATTTCATAGAATCTGGAGAACAGCCATTAAAAGAGTACATTGTCTCCTCTCCCCAAAAGCACAGGTTCTGACTATTAGACGCACTGCCGTGATCATACAGAAGCAATTCCAGGTAACAGAAATGACACATGAAGATATTCACTCAAATCATTTTCAAAGCTGCTATTCCAATTCCCTTTCAGATCAAATAGAATCTTGGAAACTGAATGTTTTTAGTGGAACCACAAAGATATCACTGCTTTTATTTCAATTATATATAAGCATTTGATTTTTAAGTAATTATAACTATTTTCTGCATTCATCAATTAATTATCCTGAGCTGGAGTTCTCATCTGTACCCTGAGAATGATATGCAACTCAGGAATGGGTATGGGATGAGTATGGAAAGGGATTATAGGGGTAAGACAGGGCCAAGCTTATAGTAAAGGATCAGCAAATATTAATTTCTTAAATTCAACTGAAACAGTACAAATTTTGAAGCAATTTATACATTTTAAAGATATTTTAAAATATTATATACAAATGTAAAATGTTACATAATGATATTAAAATTTATATAAATATTTTTAAAGCAATTTTTTGGGAAAAATATTTACTTGTAAATCAATTTATTTTTTCCAACATTCACATTCATTTAACTTTGAATTGGCATCTACAGAATATTGTCTCTGCCCTGCTAAAAGGAACAAAGATATACAAACATAGTTGGCAATAAATTTAATATTCAAATTGCCTATGAATTGTTACATAAATCTGTTAGCCATGTCAGATGTTTTGAATATATTTATTACAGAGTATTTGTTTGTCAACAAGGTAAAACACAGGCCTGGAATATAACCCCAAAGAATGACTCAGGAAAACATCACACGTGAACATTTCAGTCTGCTCAAACGTTGGCTTCATTTGAATTCTTTCCATAATTTGAGACTGAGTATCTTGTTTTGTAATATCATAACCTAAATGGCCTCCAAACACCCTAAAATATATTCAGCACAAAACTATATAAGTGAGCTAAAATATCATATAATTCTTGCGCATTATAACTGATGAATAATTAAGATGATTCTGGAGACAATCAGACGGTTTAAATGACCATTCTTCATTCCTGTCTTCTAGAAGATTTAACTTAACAGTGCTTTTATAGTTATTGCTGTGAGTCTTATTTATTAATAGATAAGCTTCCACAATTATCAAGCATGCTTATTAAACTTGAAAAAAGCATTGCATTTTGCAAACCTTCTGACACTAATGCTGAGAAAACTCTTCCTTTGAGGATATTCCCTAATGTTCCTGAATAATATGCCAGACTTATATAATTATATAACTCAAGAAGCATGTTCCCAAGGCCCTGGATGTTATATCTCAGTAAATCTGAAGAGAGTCTAAAATAAATTTGAATAATTGAAATGTTAAATACTCTTAAATAACAAAAATTTTAAAGTTTGAAATATTTTGTTGACTATGAAAACCTGATGCATTGCAGATACTGGGAGAGCCATCACCATCTGACTGCCTCAAAGAGTTCAAAAACGATGAAGATTTGTTTTAATGCATAAAATGATCCTAATATGCTAGCGATTTACCAGTCATCTTTGGAAGAGTTTCTCCCTCAATATACAGGAATACATGTACATTGTATTCACGTCGTATGAAATTTCATTTTTTAATATAATCTCTATTTTAAGAGTTAGAAAAATAAATCTGAATGTTAATTGACCCACTTAGAGATGAAACAAAACAGACAAAATGCAACCAAAAGCTTATGGAAGAGAGAGTGGGCAGGTTAACTCATTATAGCTAGAAATGCAAATCTGATAAATTGTTCGTTACACAACTCTGTTTGGGGAAAATATATTTTTATTTTGTTCAATAAAATGAAGTCAAATAAGACTAACAGGGAAAATCGTAATACACACTTTTGGACTGAGAAAATCTTGCTCTGAAATTCCAGCTCCAGTACACAGAAGTAGCTAGTCTTTCCAACTTTGTAGGTCACCATTATGTCACCTATAAACTTAAAATAATAATAAAGCAAGGCCGCGAGCAGTGGCTCACGCCTGTAATCCCAACACTTTCGGAGAGGGAGGTGGGCAGATCACCTGAGTTCAAGAGTTCAAGACCAACGTGGCCAACATGCAGAAACTTCATCTCTACTAAAAATACAAAAAATTAGCCAGGCATGGGGGTGCATGCCTGTAATCCCAGCTATACAAGACACTAAGGCAGAAGAATCACTTGAACCCTGGAGGCAGAGGTTGCAGTGAGCCAAGATAGTGCCACTGCACTCCAGCCTGGGCAACAGAGTGAGACTATGTCTCAAAACTAACTAAGCAAATAAGTAAATAAAAACACATACCCACAAGTGCTACAAAAGATAACTAAATCATGTCTATGGAGGCCCTAGCACAGTATGCAGCACTTAATAGACATGTCTTTTATGATGTGCCTGTTAAATAACTTAAAACAGTTATATTAAGAACAGGATATAGGAAAAAGCATTTTACTTTGAGTTTGAAATAATTAATAAGTTACAGAATAGAATAAATAAATATTTATGTTAACGTCTCATCTCAGAACAAATAAGCCATATTTGCGTTATTTTAAAAGCCTTAGGGGACCTGACTACGCCTCTACCTCCTTAAATGGTCAGCCTAAAAGATGGGGTATAGAAGGGACTGAAGCTCTAAAACTAGGGCCCTGTTTGAGTTTTTCCTAAGCGTGGAGAGGAGGTAGAAGAAGGAAGGGCAAAGATTCAAAGAGCTACATCCCCACTTGCACAGAACTAGGAAGGCAGGGCCAATAGCACTTTCCAGTATAAAGTAAGGGAAACAAAAGGCACCGGAGGCTCCTAAGAGGGCCCCCAGAAGTGCCATAAGAATTGAAGGCAGGAACCAAGTATGTAAAGCAGCATCTCATAGCCAAAGAAATAATTGACCTTCTATCTATCTTGTTATTTGGCCCTACTTAAGTATAGGATTATTTTAAGAGTTCAGAGAAGATGGGAGGACGCAAGCTGGGAATGAATTTCTTGCCAGCTCGGCAGGTAGGAACTTGGAGAATTTTTTGTTTGTTTCTTGAGTTGACTTCTCTCATCACCAAATCTCATCATTTCCTTGCAGAAATCGGTTAAGACTATTTCTTTTTTCTTGAGCAAGGTATTATGACTGAAAACAGTACTTTTTCAGCCAACTATGGTAATTTTATAAAGAGGGCAATGTGTCCGTATAACAGATTAGGAATACTTGTAATTTTACCAGCTACATATAGTTGCTATTTCATCCTAATTAATGTTTGCTGTTTCTGTAATAGGACATTAAAAAAAGAAAACTACTGTTCTGAACTCGGTTACTTCTTCTGCCTCCATTTTTTCTTGTTTCTGATGTGCCTGATTTGAAAACTGAGATTCTCTGATATGTGGTAATTCACTTTATTTATTGGAGCAATTTGTCCCAACATGACATCCTGTCAAAAGGCAGGGTATTTGTTATTATTTTGGTTATACTTCAATTAGTAAGTGTATGTTGAGAAGAAAGTGCTCAATGTCTTTGTAGACTGCTGAAATTTTTCTGCAGAATAATTCATTTACTTGAGTAGATTATCTCAATTTTCTTTTTTTTTTTTGAAATTTAGAAGCAAATAAAAAATAGAAGGCAAAGAAAAATTTGTTTCATAACCCTTATACATAGCGGAAAGTTGATAAAATAAAATTAATTATTACATTTGCCAGTTTTTCAAGCAACTTGTATGATTTTTTTTTTTTGCATGTGGTTCATAACTACTTACTTCAAAACAAAAGGGACTAGATGGATGTAGAGATGGGAGAGTAAGAATAAAAACAGGACCTTTGTGATGAAAATATTTCTTCCGGCAGTATATCTTCCAGGAATAAATCACTATGAATTCTTTAGACATTGTCTGCACCTATGCCAGCACATACTTAAATGTCACAATAATATTATCACTAGTACCACACAGAGTATGTATAGAAATATGCAGTACCTATTCCTGTTCAAACTACTATGTCATTATCAAGGTAGCAGTGTGAACAACTATTCCATTCAGCATGAGGAGTCTAACCAGACCCAGGAAACAGAAAAGTGACTAAAATATTACAAATGAGGGCAATCTATTATACTATCTGATAATATGTGATGTTATCTGTGGTATTATGGAATAAAACTGATGTTATGTGTGAAAACACAGGAGATTCTTAAGACTTCACTTGGAGTAACTGTATGCAAAATAAAGCCTATCAAAAGAAAGAATGCTGTCTACCTAATTTATTTGATGTTGGTCCACCCTCTTTAGAAGCATCATCCAATAAAAATATAATGTGAGCCATTATACAATTTTAAATTTTCAAATCACTTTTTAAAAAATAAAATGAGGCCAGTGAAATTAATTTTAACAATATATTCCATTTAATGCAGTATGTCAAATATATTTCAACCATTTCAACATGCAATTGGTATTTTTAAAAATATTGACATGTTTACATTTTGTATACTAAGTCTCGAAGATGCAGTGGGAATTAGACACTTTCATCATCTCTCAATGCAGTCTCGACATATTTCAGATATTCACTACACACGTGTGAGTGGTTATTCGTTTGAGCAGCACAGTTCTACAGCTCTTCAACGTATTTCTGCCTGTTCTATGCTCTGATGAGGCTGGAGGAAACATTACCAGCCCACAGTTCCTTAAAAACTTTTACAACACTTTGACAATTAGTTAAGTGTGTTATGAGTGTGTAATACAGGATACCTCAGACTTCACTGGTTAGTCAGAAAGTACAATGTTATATTCACTGATTTCTGTTCAGTAATTTTCCCTTATATGTGTAGGTATATAACTGTGAAATTCAACTTTCTGTTCATCAGTATAATTAACTATGTAAATAATTATCATAAAAAGCATACAATGGAATGATGTTGGATGGGAACAAATTCTCAAGAGTTATTAATTTCTCAGTTATACTAAGTTACTCTAGTTCAGTTGTTGGACTCTGAGGTGAATATAAGAAATTAACCATGTTAAAATCACAGAATAATTTGGTAATACCGAAGTCTCCAACAGAAGAAGTATACTGATAAAAGAATTGTAAGCTCCATATATCCTCCTTTATATATGTTTATAGCCTTAAAAATGAACTAACTTAATTAAATTGTATTAATTTAATTCAATTACCAAAATGCACCAAACAGCAAATGTATCTGCCAAAAAGGCAAAGAGAATATGTTATATTTTCCATGTCTGCACTTATCAATTTTAGTCCTAACACCAAAATACATATATCACAATTACTTTTTAATTAGACTGTGTCTAAGCTCACAATTGATACCAGAGTTTCATTAAGAAACTGAAGGTCAAGTGGTACCATCATTCCTCAAATCACATTAAAAGTTTTGTCCATTTCATGATCTATAGAGATAGCTTCTTCCACACTATTTTGGTTCATCTCCCCTTCCCAGTAGTTATACCAACACTTCATTACATGTTGCACACTCAGTAACATCCTTTTCCTTAAGGGAGACTGCCTCCTTCTGTGTGTCACAGAAGCCCAGGATAACGCCATAGAGAGGGGATGGAGGCACCTGCCTCTGCCACATAGTCTCACCTAACAGGATCAGCTCAGCATCATGGAGGATTTTGTCTTACAGGGAAAAGGTAAGCAGATCTCCGGTGGTCATCACTACTGCCACAAAATACAAGCAATCTTTACTATAAGAGAGCCCCCAGTCCTCACAGGCCCTGAATCCAGTTTGAAGAGTAGCCAGGGGCTGCATCGCTTCAGAGTAGGAGGCCAACTTAGGAGCCCTTACCCTTGCAACCTAAGCTGCTACAGCACAGCACCATCTTGAAACTAGACCCATTTCTAGAGTACTTTCTGCCCTAGGGATCAGTTTCAACTGAATTCCCATTCCTGAGACACCATTGTCACTATACCACATTCACACAGGTGCCTACAGCACTACAACTCTGGATGCCTGGAGCCTAGGCCAGATGGAATTACCAAGATCTCAATGTCTGAACCCACATGGCACCACCCTCATTCCGCCAGGGAACAACTGCACTTGCAACATGGAGAAGCTGCTAAATAGCCAGCTGACTGACTTGCCCATGTGCGCTCATTGTTGTGCACAGCCCATGTACAACCTGGCAAACCAGCACACAGCTACATCCAGTTCAACAGTCAGCCCTGTGGTTCCCTATGCCCCAACCCCAGATCATTGCAGAGCCACCTGAATCCACTGTGCCTGCAAACACTCACACCTGGCTCAACAGGCAGTCCCTTAGTGGACCTGTCCACTTTAATATATTGCCAAAGAGGCACCTCGCCCAGATATGCCTGCAGGTACATTTACTTATCCCAATAGTCTGTATGACAGCAATTCTGACTCTCTGGACAGAGTGCCATGAAGCCATCCGGCCCTTCTGTGCCCAGCCCACCCACACTGGGCAGACCTCCAATCTTGCAGTGACCCCAACTCCCTGGAGAGACAGCTGCACAATCTCCCAGCTGGTCACACTCACACATTCATGAGCTCAGCTTAACAGCCAGCCTGTCAACAGCCACTGCCTCCCCAGAGAGCCCACCAGCCAGCCTGTTAGGCCTCTGTACACACACATGTCTGGCCTGACGACTAACCTGATACTCTCACCCCAAGCAATACTGTGCCACCACCATCACAAACTGTACAGCCTACCCACTGAGGCAATTGCAGACATTGCTAATGAGAATTATAGCCAAAGAAACTGCACAGAGACCACAGAGGCTAGCCAGAACCAAAACCAACATACCATAACAAATCGACACCAAAGAACCCATCCATAGGAAAAATTCTTCCCCTACAAAAGTTATATCATTGTAAGGAAACAGCAAACACGAAAAGTCAAGGAAACATGATGGCTTCAAAGGAGTACAATAAGTCTCCACTAACAGAACCCAAAGCAAAGGACATTTACAGAATATCTGAAAAGGAATTCAAACTGATAATCTTAAGGAAATTTCATGAGATACAAAGGAACACAAACAAATAATTCACTGAAGTCAAGAAAACAATTTATGGTCTAAATGAGAAATTCAACAAAGAGAAAGATGTAATTAAAAATATCTTAGAGTTGAAGAATTCTATGAAGGAAATAAAAAATACAACTGAGAGCTTCAAGAACAGATTAGATCAAGCAGAAGATAGAATTTCTGATTTTGAAGACAGGATTTTAAAAATAATCTAGTGATGGGGGCAAATAAAGAAAGCCTATGGGACTTATAGAATACCACTAAACAAATAATCTCATTACAGGTATTCCAGTTGTAGAAGAGATAGAAAAAAGAACAGAAAAGTCATCTAATGAAATAATTTCTGAAAACATTCTATGTATTGGGATATGGATATCCAGATTCAGGAAGCTCAAAGATCTGTGGATAGATTCAACCCAAAAGAACCTTCCAAGGCACATTATAATCAAACTCTCAAAAGTAAAAGACAGAATTCTAAAAAAAAAAAAGTAAAAGTAAAAGTAGAATTCTAAAAGCTGCAAGAGAATAGTGTCAAGTCACATATAAGGGAACTCCCATTAGACTATCAGAAGATTGTGTAGCAGAAATCTTGCAGGCTAGGAAAGAATGGAATGAAGAGCTGAGAATTCTCTCAGATTTAACTTGTCTGGGAAGGTCTTTACTTTTCCTTCATTTACGACGGACAGTTTTCCTGGAAATAGTACTCTTAGCAAATAGTTTGTTTTTTCCTTAAGCACTTTGTATATATCATCCCATTGTCTCCTAGCCTGCAAAATTGGCCTTATAGGGAAGTCCAATCACAAGACTGGCCTTATAGGGAACACTCAAGAAAGTGCTACAACTGCAAACATGAGAAGGATAATTATCACAAAACACATGAAAGTATGAAACTCTCCAACAAAGATAAATGTATAATTCAATCTTAGAACACCCTAGTGAAGTAATGGTGCAGTGTAAATCTTTCAATACTCCAGTATGAAGGATTAAAAATGCTCAAAAACAATAGCTCCAAGTAGTGGCTAAGGAACACACAACAGATAAATAAGTAAATTAGAGCAACAAAAATATTCATTGTAGAGAAGAGGGAAAAATTGTAGAGTATTTCTATGTGACCAAAGTCAAGTTGCTATGAACCTAAAATAATCCATTTTAACCACAAGATTTTATGTTAGCACAATAGTAACCACAAAGAAAGAAATTAAAGCAGATACACAAATAATAAAGAGAAAGGAAACAAAGCTAGCTCCACAGAAAACCACCAAACTACTAAAGTAAACAGCCACAGAGTAAGAAAGGAACAATGTACCTATAAAAGAACCAGGAAACAACTAACAAAATGGCAGGAATAACTCCTTATCTGTCAAAAACCACCTTGAATATAAATGAATTAAATTGTCCAATTAAAACATAAGGTATAGAGTGGCTAAATGGAGAAAAAATGGAGAAAAAATTAGACCTAACTATACATAGCATGCAAGAGACTCACCTAATAATTAAAGACAAACATCAACTAAATGGAAGGCATAGAAAAAGACATTTCAGGCAAATGAAAACCAAAGTCAACATGAATAGCCATACTTATAAACAGACTTTAAGTCAGAGACTGAAGAGACATCATTATACAATGAAAATGGGATCAATTCAATAAGAGTATATAATAGTTGCAAATATATATACACCCAACACTGGAGCACCCAGGTATATAATGAAAATATTATTACATCTAAAGGAATGGACTGCAATGAAATAATAGTATAGGACTTGAGTTCCCCACTTTCATCTAGGAAAAAAGTCTACAAAGAAAAATTGGAATTAAATTGTACCATAAACCAAATGGACTTAATGAACATTTGTACAGCTTTCCATCCAACAGCTACAGAGCACACATTCTTCTCAACTGCATTTGGAACATTTTCCAGGATAGATTACATGTTAGATCACAAACGAGTGTTAACAAATTTTAAAAATCTGAACTCTTGTAAGTATCTTTTCTAGCCACCATGGTGTAAAACTAGAAGTCAACAAGAAAAACTTCAGAAAATTTACAATAACATGGAAATTAAACAACTTGTTCCTTTGAAACCAATGGGTTAATGAAGAAATTAAAAGGGATCTAAAAATTTTTCTTGAGACAAACAAAAAGGGAAACAACAAAACCTATGGAACATAGCAAAAGCATTCCTAAGAGGGAGGTTAGCAATAAACCCCTAGATCAAAAAACAAAAAAAGATTTCAAATAAAAAACATAAAAACACCCTAAAGGAACAAAAAAAAAACACTAGAAAAAACTAAACTCAAAATTGGTTGAAGGAAGGAAATAATAAAGCTCAGAGCAGAGATAAGTAAAATAGCGATTCAAAAAATGAAAAGATCAACAAAACAATTGGTTTGTAAAAGATAAACAAAACTGACAAACCTTAAGATAGACAACAAAAATAAAAGAAAACTCAAATAAAATCAGAGATGAAAAAAGAAATGTTAAAACTGATGTCACAGAAATACAAAGGCTGATAAGAGACTATTATGAATGAACAGCTTCACATCAACAAATTTGATAGCACAGAAGAATCAGTTACATTCCTAGACATACACTGTCTACTAAAATTAAATTATGAGGAAATAGAAAAACTGAACAGAACAATAATGAGAGAGGTAATTGAGTCAGTAATAAAAATTCTCTCATCAAAGTATAGCCAGGAACATCTGTTGGTTTTACTGCTAAATTAAACCAAACATTAAAAGAACTAATACCAATTATCCTTAAACTCTTCCAGAAAACTAAAGATGAGGGAAAACTTCCAAACTCTTTATGAGGCCAGCATTATCCTGATTCCAAAAATGAATAAGGAAATTAAAAAAATATATAATATAGGCTAATATCCCTGATGAACATAGATGTAAAAATTATCAGCAAGATATTAGCCTACCAAATCCAATAGCACATTAAAAAGATCAGGCACTATGATCAGGCGAACCTGATTCTATGATGCAAGAATGTCTTAACATACCCAAATCATTAAATGTGATAAATCACTTTAATTGAAACAAAGACAAACATCCCTATGATCATTTTAATAGAGGCAGAAAAAGCATTTGACAAAATTCAGCATCCCTTCATGAAAAAAAATTATCAACAAATTAGGTATAAATGGCAAATAACACAATAAAGGCCATACGGGACAAATCCACAGCTACTATCATACCGAATGGGGAAAAAGTCTACAGTTTTCACTCTAAAATTAGGAACTAGACAAGGTTGCTAACTTTTCACCACTTCTTTTCAACATAGTACTAAAAATCCTAGCCAGGACAATTAGGCAAGAGAAAAAATATTAAGGACATCCAAATTGAAAACAAAGAAGTCAATTGTCCCTGTTGGCAGATGACTTGATTTTAAATATAAAAAACCCTAAAGATTACACACACACACACACACACACACACACACACACACGGTTAGAACTAATAAATAAATTCAGTTAAGTTTCAGGACACAAAAATCAACATTCAAAAATGGATAGCGTTTGTATAGGCTAATAATTAAGCCTATGAAGAAGAAATCAACAAAACAATTTCATTTCTGATAGCTACAAAAAAAATGATAGCTAAGAATAAACTTATCCAAGGAGGTGAAAGATGTGTACATTGAAAACTGTAAAACTTTGATGTAAGAAATTGAAGATGACAGAATTAAGTGTAAAGATATTCCACATTCATGAACTGGAAGAATTAACATTGTTAAAATGATCATACCACCCAAAGTGATCTACAAAGTTAATGCAATGCCTATCAAAATACAACTGACATTATTCACAGAAACAAAAAAGAAATTCACATGGAATCACAAAAGACCCTAAATAGCCAAAGTAATCCTGAGCAAAGATAACAATGCTAAAAATATCACACCACTTAACTTCAAAATATGCTACAAAGCTATAGAAACCAAAACAGCATGGTGGTGGTATAAAAACAGATATGTAAACCAACAGAACAAAAGAGAGCCCAGAAACAAATTTACCCACTTACAGCCAATTGATTTTCAACCAAGATGCCAAGAACATTGGGGATAAGACAGTCTCTTCAATAAATTGTGCTGGAAAAAAAAAAGATATCCACATTAAGAACAAAAATAGACTGCTCCCTTTCATGATATACAAAAGTAAACTCAAAATGAATTCAAGGCTTCAGCGCAGCTCGTGACCAGCGTGTGCAACATTGTGAAATCCCATCTCTACAACAAATACAAAAATTAACCAAATGTAGTGCCATGCCACTATAACCCCAGCTGCTTGGCTGGCTGAGGCAGGAGAATTGCTGGAGCCTGGGAGGCAGAGATTGCAGTAAGCCAAGATCGCGCCACTGCACTCCAGCCTGGGCAATGAAGCCACACCAATCCTCATAAAAAAAAAAAAAAAAAAAAAAGACTTCTGTGTAACTTTCGTGCAAAACATGAAACCGTGAAGCTATTAGAAATAAAAGGAAAACAGTGGAAATGCTTCATGACATTGGGCTAGGCAAGAAATTTTTAAATAAGACTTCAAAAGCACAGGTAACAAAAGCAAAAATATACAAACAGAATTACATCAAACAAAAAAACGTTTTGCACAGGAAAGGCCAGTATTAACCAAGTGATGAGACGACATACAAAACAGAAGAAAATATTTGCAAACAATATATTTAACAAGATTTAAAATCCAGAATATGTAAAGAATTGAAACAACTCAACAATAAAAAATAAATAATTCAATTAACAAATGGGCAACAGACCTTAACACACATTTCTCAAAAAAATACATAAGAAAGGCCAACAGATATGAAAAAATGCTCAACATTTCTAATCGTCAAGCAACTACAACTTAAAGTTACAATAAATACCACCTCTTTCCAGGTAGAATGGCTATTAAGAAAAAGACAAAGGAAACCAATGTTAGAGAACTTGTAGAGAGAAGGGAATATTTACACACTGTTCTTGGGACTGTAAACTAGTACATGCATTATGGAAAACAGTATAGGAGTTCTTCCAAAAAATTAAAAATAGAACTACCATATCATCCAGCAATTCCATTCCTGTGTCTATATTCAAAGGACATAAATCACTATATTGAAGAGATACCTGGAGTTACATGTTTTTTGCAGCACTGCTCACCATAGACAAGACGGATAATCAAACTGAGCATGCAGTAACAGATGAATGGGTAAAGATTATATGGAATAGATAGACAATGGTATATGATTCAGCTTTAAAAAGGAATTAAATTCTGTCACTTGCAACAACATGGATGAACACAGAGGACATGATGTTACATGAAATAAGCCAGATACAGAAAGACAAATAAATACTGCAGGGTATTGCTTATATATAGAATCTAAAGGGAAAAAAAAAGGTAGAGGATATCATAGAAGCAAAGAATAGAACAGTGGTTACCAGAGACTAGGGAAGCAAAAGAGGAGAGGAGGATGAGAAAAGGTTTTTCGAGAGAAACAGACTTACAAATGGGTTGAAGGAATAAATTCTGGCATTCCACTGCACAGTAGGGTGACTATATTTAACAGTAAAAATTATGCATTAGAAATTACCAAGAGGGGCTCCTCAATGTTCTCACCACAAATAAATGATAAATGCATCAGGGGATGGATACACTGACTACCGATTATTGGATCATTATACAACATAGATTTGTATCAAAGAATCAAATTATACTCCATAAATATGTACAATTATAGTGTGCCACTTTAATAGTAATAAATTTTAAAAATTTTCATGTCTACTCCCCTAAATTACTGACACTAAAACCAATAAAATTCCTCATTGTTACTTCAAATATTTCCATATCATAATTTTAAAAAATCCAGGATGTACTCTTG
The DNA here is from genome assembly GCF_000001405.40 of Homo sapiens. Taxonomy (NCBI): domain Eukaryota; kingdom Metazoa; phylum Chordata; class Mammalia; order Primates; family Hominidae; genus Homo; species Homo sapiens. Next base: position 14,824,521 of record NC_000008.11, read on the forward strand.
ATATGACATCCTATGTTTCTCATGCCCTGGCTTCCATAATAAAGACCATTTGAACTTTTAAAGCCTTCATTATTTATTCTCATCATGTGAAGACCAAGAACCTGCCTTTACATCCTGCTTGACTAACAAAATCTAAATATGAATTAATCCTAAAATCCTTGTTTGAGGAATGAGTGATAATTAAGAAATTTCACTGCCTATGCTACCTTGAGCTTACATTCCCCTGGATCTCCTTATCCCAAAATATCTTCTACATAAACGCTTAAATTTTCAGCGATGTAGTATAGAAATCCTTCTTCTCTATTGATCTACTCACTCTAGGTTTGCCTTGAACAAACTCTTACTACTTTGTTTTCAACTGTGATTTATATGCTTATGGATACCAATTTTTTGTCAACATTCTAAATTTCTTCATGTGAGCCTCAGACTCTGGTAGACATACTGTATTACAAGACCAACACATATCCCTAAATTAGCAGAGTCCCAAACTGAAAATACTGTTTCCCACACTATACTAAACTGAATTTCCTTCAATGTTTACTTTTCAGTTAATATCAGTTATTGTCATCAGCATCCAGCTAGTAACCTACTGGTAATCTACACTACTTCCTCTCTCTTAAATTGATATTTCATGGAGCGCTGTGAATTATCTGTTAAAAACAAAAATCTTAACATTATACATTCATCCAGTAAAGAAAACCTTTTATAGCTTCCCATCTGTGAAATCCTTAGCAAGATACATGAAATCTCTAATTACCTGTTCCTATGTGTATCGTCACTTATCTCTCACTATTCTTGTTTTCACACTCTAGAACCTAATAGAATCTTTACAATTTTTTAATACATGTGCTTAGATTTATAGTAATACGGAACTTACTGAAGAACTCAAAAAATATAAAAATCGTTTCATCATTTTTAGACAATTAAAAGTAATTTGTGCATTGTCAAGTTTATGGCATTATTTAATAATTTTTCTATACAAAATAATTGTGACTTTAAATTTTTGGTAAATAAATATTGTATGTACTTGAACAACATGATGATTTTATACATGTATACATTGTGTAATGATTACCACAGTCAAATTAATTAACTCATTCATCCCCACATAAGCTTTATCTTAGTACAACGGAACTTGCTTATCTTACAACTGAAACACTGAACCCTTGAACAACATCTCTCCCATTCTTCCTACCCTCCAGTGTCTGGTAACCACTGTTCTACCGTCTATTCTATGAAATCAACTTTTTAAGATTCCACATGTAAGTGAGATCATGTGGTACTTGTCTTTCTGTGTCTGGCTTATTTCACTTAACATGATATTCTTCAGACTCATCTGTATTACCACAAACTGCAGGATTTTCTTCCATTTTATGTCTGAATGACACTCTCTTGTATACACATATCTTTCTTTTTTTAATTTTATTATTATTATACTTTAAGTTTTAGGGTACATGTGCACAATGTGCAGGTTTGTTACATATGTATACATGTGCCATGTTGGTGTGCTGCACCCATTAACTAGTCATTTAGCATTAGGCATATCTCCTAATGCTATCCCTCCCCCCTCCCCCCACCTATGTCCCCAAAGTGTGATGCTCCCCTTCCTGTGTCCATGCCTTCTCATTGTTCAATTCCCACCTATGAGTGAGAACATGCAGTGTTTGGTTTTTTGTCCTTGCGATAGTTTGCTGAGAATGATGGTTTCCAGCTTCATCCATGTCCCTACAAAGGATATGAACTCTTCATTTTTTATGGCTACATAGTATTCCATGGTGTATATGTGCCACATTTTCTTAATCCAGTCTATCATGGTTGGACATTTGGCTTGGTTCCAAGTCTTTGCTATTGTGAATAGTGCCGCAATAAACATACATGTGCATGTGTCTTTGTAGCAGCATCATTTATAATCCTTTGGGGATATACCCAGTAATGGGATGGCTGGGTCAAATGGTATTTCTAGTTCTAGATCCCTGAGGAATCGCCACACTGACTTCCACAATGGTTGAACTAGTTTACAGTCCCACCAACAGTGTAGAAGTGTTCCTATTTCTCCACATCCTCTCCAGCACCTGTTGTTTCCTGACTTTTTAATGATCGCCATTCTAACTAGTGTGAGATGGTATCTCATTGTGGTTTTGATTTGCATTTCTCTGATAGCCAGTGATGATGAGCATTTTTTCATGTGTCTTTTGGCTGCATAAATGTCTTCTTTTGAGAAGTGTCTGTTTATATCCTTTGCCGACTTTTTGATGGGGTTGTTTGTTTTCTTCTTGTAAATTTGTTTGAGTTCATTGTAGATTCTGAATATTAGCCTTTTCTCAGATGAGTAGGTTGTGAAAATTTTCTCCCATTCTGTAGGCTGCCTGTTCACTCTGACGGTAGTTTCTTTTGCTGTGCAGAAGCTCTTTAGTTTAATTAGATCCCATTTGTCAATTTTGGCTTTTGTTGCCATTGCTTTTGGTGTTTTAGACATGAAGTCCTTGCCCATGCCTATGTCCTGAATGGTATTGCCTCGGTTTTCTTCTAGGGTTTTTATGGTTTTAGGTCTATGGATTAAAGACTTACATGTTAGACATATCTTTCTTAAGAATATACCAGACCACCTTTCAGCATGGCAGCTAAGTTCCAAGAATGGAAGTTTCAAAAAAAAAACAGACTCCAATGTGCCAAGGATTGTTAAGTCTCTGTTTATATCACATTTTCTTTTCTTTTCTTTTTTTTTTTTTTTTTTGAGACAAAGTCTCACTCTGTCACCCAGGCTGGAGGGCAGTGACGCCATCTCAGCTCACTGCAACTTCTGTCTCCCAGGTTCAAGCGATTCTTCTGCCTCAGCCTCCCAAGTAGCTGGGATTACAGGCATGCACCACCATGCCCAGCTAATTTTTGTGTTTTTAGTAGAGACAGGGTTTCTTCATGTTGGCCAGGCTGTTCTCAAACTCCTGACTTCATATGATGCACCCGCCTTGGCCTCCCAAAGTGCTTATATCACATTTTCTAATGTCCCATTTGCCAATTCCATGTCAAATGGTCATGCACAGAGTCAATGTGGGAAGGAACTGCACGGGTTGTGAAAAAGAAAGAGTCTGTGATTGTTTTCATGCCACAATGATGAAGTTGAATAGTTACAACAGACACTGTGTGCCCTGCAGAGCCTTAAATATTTACTATCTAGCCCTTTACAGAAAGCATTTGCCAACCTCAACTCTAATGCAATGACAGAATATAAGTCATCTTTATATCATTTAACTACATGAAATTAAAGTAATACAGTTGTTAATATATGCACACACGGATACACATATACATAAACACACATTAATAAACACACACACACACACAGACACACATATCACCCGGTGTATTTTTTAACCTGTATTGAATATACAAGGGATCTTCAAATCATTCATGGAAAATATGTATTATGAAAGAACTAGGCAAAGTGTTCAAAAATTTTTTGCACCAAAATAAACTCGTACTACTTGTTTAACATGTCTGACAGGACCTCAACTGAAACACTGAGAAGCTGCTGATCACACATCAGCTTGAAATGAATCTCTATTAGAAAAGTAATTCTGCTGAAATTGCAGCAAGAACAAATACAAATTTATGGTGAAGATTAAATGGAAGAATGGTGAAAGCACGGAATCTTTACAAAAAGTTTATGGGAGCAATGCCCCAAAGAAATGACCAGTTTACAAGTAGAAACTCATTTTAAGAAGGGATGAGATGATATTGAAGATGAAGCCTGCAGGAACAAATGATTTATGTCAATTTGCAAGGAAAAAAGTTATCTTATTTGTATCCTAATTGAAGAGAAGCAATGATTAAAAGCAAAAACAAAAGCTACAACACTGACATTTCAATTGGTTCCACTTACACCATTCGGACTAAAAAATTAAAGTTAAGCAAACTCTACTTGATGGTTACCAAAACCTTTGTACCTAAATGAGCTGCAGACAAGTGCTGAGTTTTCGATGGAAATTTTAAACAAGTGTAATCAAGATCCTGAAGCACTTCCTCTAATTTTAACAGGACAGAAAACATGACTTCATCCAGTACAGTTCTGAAGACAAAGCACAATCAAACCAGTGGCTATCAAGAGGTGTCAGTGGTCCAGGTGAAACTGCTCCAGTCAAGAGGAAGGGTCATGGCAGCAGTTGTTTGGGATGCTCAAGGCATTTTGCTTCTTGACTTTCAGGAGTGCCAAAGACCAACAACATCTGCTTAGTATGAGAGTGTTTTGAGAGAATCATCAACTAAAGCTTTAGCAGAAAAATGCCCATGCCCGAGAACATTTCAGCAGAGTCCTTCTTTACCATAACAATGCTTCCACTCATTTCTTTCTTCAAACAAGGACAATTTTGCAAGAGTTTCAATAGAAAATTAGTAGACATCCATCTTAACAGTCCTGATATGGCTCCTTTGGAGTCCTTTTTTTTGTTTGTTTTCTAATCTTAAAAACGAATCTAGAAAGGACACCTAAATTTCTTCAGCTAATTTTCTTTGAACTTTTAAGTTCAAGGGGTACATGTGTCCCTGAAACCTTTGTGTAACAAAGGTTTGTTCCAAAGGTAAACTTGTGTCATGGAGTTTGTTGTACAGATTATTTCCTCATCCAGGTATGAAGGTCAGTACCGATTATTTATTTTTCTTGATCCTCTCCCTGCTTCCACCCCAACACTCTGATAGGCCCCAGTGCATATTGTTGCCGTCTATATATCCATGTGTTCTCAACATTTAGCTACCACTAGTAAGTTAATAATGTTTTTTAAAAAACTGCATTGACATCATTAAATTCCCAGAAACGTCAATTCTTCAGGGATAGACTAAATGGCTGGTATCATCCCTTACAAAAGTGTCTTGAACTTGATGACGCTTATGTTGAAATATAAAGTGTATATTATTTTCTTTATCTTTTAATTCAATTTTTCCATGAACTTCTTGAAGTCCCCTTGTAAGTAGAATTGAACATCAATAGGAAAGTAAGTTTGAATAGTTATATTCAAGTAGAAAATATAGCATAACCTTTGAACAAGAAATTAAGGTTGTTAATGTAAATGATTCCTAAGTGCCTTAAACTGAGATAATTTCCAATTTTCTGCACAAATTTTAAAATATATCAGCTACAATATACATTAGTCCGTTTCTTCTATTTTCTTACGTCTTTTCTTACAGTAGTTAGATGCTTAACTAAAGTTGGATGTTTAATTTAACTGATTATTTAAGGGTTTTTTTAAAAAAAATCATAAAACTTGTAAAGATTAAAAGTTCCCTAACATGTTTTGTTTTGTTTTGTTTTTGTTTTTTGGACGGATTCTCGCTCTGTCGCCCAGGCTGGAGTGCAGTGGCGCGATCTCGGCTCACTGCAAGCTCCGCCTCCCGGGTTCACGCCATTCTCCTGCCTCAGCCTCCTGAGTAGCTGGGACTACAGGCGACTGCACCACGCCCGGCTAATTTTTTCTATTTTTTAGTAGAGACGGGGTTTTCACCGTGTTAGCCAGGGGTCTCGATCGCCTGACCTCGTGATCTGCACGCCTTGGCCTCCCAAAGTGCTGGGATTACAGGCATGAGCCACCGCACCCGGCCTTATGTTTGTATTTTTTATTTTTTAAGTTGAATTTCAGTTGTAAAAATTGAATTAAAAATATGGACCAACTTTATTTATTTGGTTATTTAATTATTCCATCAGTTACTTAGAAGTATATTAGGATAAATGGGTGTGTTTGGTTTCCAAATTTTTTTTTTTGGTTTGCCTTAGTTAACATTTACTGTATTATATGTAACTTATATTTCCAAGCTAACTACATGTTGATCACAGAAGTACTCTGTATGACATCAATTTGTTATCTGTCAATATGTTTTTTAGCATTAAATATTGTCAATTTTTACAATTATTACAGTTTAAAGAGTCTGAATCATTCTTTATTCTTCCTCTTTCTTTCTCTCTCTTTTGCAGAGTTCTACATATACCTATTAGAATAATGCTATTAATTGTATTGTTTAAATTGTAACTTTATATGTTTTTAATAATCACAGATAACTGTGAAAGTCCATAAAATTCTAGTGTGCTATTTATTGTTAAAAGAGGTCTATGCATGCCTATTCCAGAGTAGACAAAACTAATAATTATTTTTTTCATATCACAGTGACTTTAGTTTGCAAAGGAATGCTGCTGATTTATATGTCATTATATTCCCAGTTGGTTATATTACAAGTCAGCCAATAACATTTAGAATCAATATATATTTGGTCACAACATCTCAAAAGGTATGCAAGCTCTCTCGGTATGCAATCACACTAAACGAAAACATGTTTTCTCATTTTTTAAAAAAAGTCTTTGAAAACTGGTGTTACAAGGAAGAAAAGGAAATTATCAGAGCTTTCTGGATCAAAGAAAAATCCAAATAAATGTTTCCTTTCTATTTTAATTTAGGAAGTGGAAGTGTAGAAAGAGCTCTTGAAAGGAGCCAGCTATGTAAAAATCTTATTTGACTCCTAAGTAATAATGTGAACTTGGAAATACCTCTTTACCTCAGTCTCAGTTTCCTTGCTCATAATATGAGGAAGTCATTTCTTCTGTAGCCTAATATGACTCTCTTCCAATTGAAAAGTGTATATGTCCATGATGGAAACTATGGATGACTCTGGCTAATAAAAATGTTATAGAGTACACAGGTCAAAGAAAGATTTTCAAAGTACATGACGGCAAAATACTCATGGTGTTTCAGTTGTAGATATTTGAGGACAGAAGGTGTTCTTTGATATAGTACATGGAAACATATTGCTTCACTGTTAAATAAATAGAAGAGGACTATACTTATTCCCACACATGCAGGCAATCAAAACAAGATAATCTATGTGTTATCTGGGGCTACCATGACTCCACCACCAGCCTTTCCTGCTGTCTCCTGGATGCTCATAATTCTGGGACACAGTGCTCCAGAGTTCAAGAGAATCTGCCATCAGATAGACATCGACTTGAACTTCAGTCTACTACTTATTCTACTAGACACACAACTTTGGGAAACATGTTCAACTTCATTAAGTTTCTCCTAAACATGTCTACAAGTGTGTTTGTGTGTGTGTGTGTGTGTACACATAGACACATATGTGTGTGTGTGTATATATATATATATACATACACTTGTCTCAGTATACAATTATACTAAAACATTTTTTCTCATTTTCTAAAAAACGTCTTTGAAAGCTGGTGTTAGAAGGAAGATCTGTATAAACATATACATATATACACACACGTATATATGTGTGTACACATACATGTATATATGTGTGCACATACATGTATATATGTGTGCACATACATGTATATAAGTATGTATATGTGTGTATATGTATATACTTGTATATATATGTTTGTGTATACACACACAAACAGTACATACACCTAATTCCTGATTGATTTAATGAAAAGTGTTTTAAAAGAATAGCTGTGTTATGTTTTATTGAGGCATATAGATAAATAGTAATTGGTAGTTATAATCTAGCAACAGAAACAGATTAACAAACAGAAAGCAGTTTCAATGAAAACGACAATAATAATATCAACTATGTTGAAATAGCAATGCCTTCTTAAGTCACTATTGAAGTGCATAATAATTTCCCTTTTTAAGGCATTTGCAGACATCGTGACATTAATTCTTTTATTTAGAAGGATCACATTCTAACTATTCTATTTGCTTTCTTGTGTTATTTGATATGATATATGGATAACTATCAATAAAGCTATTATGTGGTTGACCATGAACTTTAAATATATTGCTCATGAATGTTGTCAGCTTAATATTCTATGCTAAAAATTCAGCCTAAAAGATTGCTCAAGAACATCCCTGAATTTACACAAAATTCCATAATGCCCAGGTGGTCCAAGACCAGGCAAGACCAAGAGGTTGGTTAGAAATAAAATGAGGGCATGGAAAACTGTTTTCTACCACCGTATCTAAGAGATGGGTAGCATTTTTTTTAACAGGGTGAATCTTTTCCTTCTGTGTAAATTTGTAATTGAAGATAGAAAAAGCTAACACATATACTTTGTAGAATTTAAGCAAATATGATTTTATTTTAAAAAATGTGGAAGGCAAAAGGAGACATGAAAGGGTGTCTGCAGTTCTGGTAATGTTCTCTTTGTTATCAGGGCCAGAGTATATGGGTGTGTTGACTTTGGGAAAATTCATAGAGCTGTATATTTATGATCTGTGTGCTTTCCTATGAATATTAGGCTCAATAAAACATTACAGTGAAAATTTCAGAGACATAAATAATTCATTAATCCAACCTTTCAAATACAATGTTTTTTCTAATATGTATGTTGCATAAAATAGGTAGGATGTTTTAATAGGTAGGTTTTTTTAACTATAATATCTTGCCAAATAAATATAATCTTGCATATATTCATAATTCAATTACCATGAATTTTAAAATATTTCTATATATTTTTAATAGTTTGATCATTCCTTTTATTTTTATTGTATTATGTTGAAATGCTTAATCTGTTTTTCTCAGTTGATTTTTTATATACTGAAGCATAGTAGAACCTAAAACATGAATTATTGGTAAGTAAATGTAGCCTATTTATGAAAAGAACACTTTATTCCATTACAGGAATAATGTAGTATTAATGTATTCAGGTTTTGAAATGTGAATTAATATGCCAAAGTATAGGCTCTCACATTAATGATCGTTAAACACAAATGACACAGAGTAGGTTTAGGCAGAGATGACAAATTCAAGCACCTACAGAGAGTCATATGTGAGTAAAATGGAGGCTGTTGTCAACTGGAAAGAAAAAAAACCATCTAAGCGCACTGAAATTCACATTTTATTAAAATCCCAGAGAAGCCAAACATACAGATCTGTGAGTACACCTTGTCGGCTCGTGTCTTTTTGTGAGGTATTTTAGGTGAACTTTTCTGACCCATTGACATGGGTCCAGGAAGCATGAGGTTGAAATATCTGAGCACTTCTGTGAACTGACATCCTTGCCTAGGCTGATTGTTCTTAACATTTTAGTACATGGTTTGATTTGAAAGGGAGGATAGCCTTAACACCTCAGGTTTTTAGTTGATTCTCAGCTAATCTGAATTAACTGCAAAAGGTGAATGTGCTTGCAGATGGGGACGAAGGAAGGGGTTCCCTCAGGGAGCTGCTTTCTATTTTTCTGCTATAGGAAGAAGCAGCATAGTTGGGGGTGGTTGGAGCAAGTGGAGGAAACTTCAAAGAAGAAAGAGGAGTCTTTCAATCTTGGAAGAAAGAAGAAATTATGGAGCTAGGGATGATCCAGGAAAAAAAAAAATGTGTTAAATTAAATCAACTGAAAATAAATGGGTCCTCTCTAAGAATATTTATGAAAAATTAAAGGTCAACAGTTTGGAGGGGAGAAGGTGAGGAAAATATGTTTTTAGCCTCGCTTAGAAATATTGTGGAAGCTACTTTAAAAATGACTACAGCCTTAGTCAATAATTCCTAAAATAGTATAATTGTGTTCTATTTGGAAATAGGGCAAATGAAAGGAGTTACTAACAGCATTGCAGTAAGGCTGAATATATAAATAAATTGAAAAGGGCTTTAGATTTTTTTTTCATGATCCGTGATTCTCACTATGTCATTGTAAATTGGTATTTTGTAATTGATTTTTTCCTGAACAACTGTGTCCTTCCTTAAAGAAATTCCTGATGCTGATAAATTAATCATTACCTGAATAGATTCTATGGATTTATATTTTACAAAATCTTTTAGAATTTTGAGCTTAGCCATTTTATTCATGTCATTAAGGATTCTTTTATCTCTTTGCAAAAATTATTTTGGTAATTCATAATGTGTCACTCAAGATGGGCTAAACACTACAGTATTACCAAATCAATTTTTAAGCCAAACAAAGGTTTATTTTTCATGCTACATGTTAATCGCAGACTGAATGAGGTCCCTCCTTAACATAGTTGCTCAGGAATTCAGGCTGCCAAAGAGTTCCCCACCTGAAAAGATGTTACTCCTAGCAGCAAGGAGAGGAGACAGAGCATTCCCGATCTGAAAAGATGTTATTCCTAGCAGCAAGAAAAGGAGAGAAACTGAAAACTATTGGATGGCCTTTTTATGATCGCACTTTGGAGCGGAAGTGTATCATTTCTGCTCAAATTTTGCTGGGCCAGCTTTGTCACATAGTCCCAACTAATTTTGAAGAAGTCAGAAACAAACAGAGGGAAGCGTACAGAATATTTGGAGAGCATGTCTTCCTTGATAAGGTGGAAAGAGCACAGAACTTTGTGATCAAGGGACTCGGATACTGATTTAATCTCTGCAGGAGCTTGAGCAAGTTACTTTCTCTCCCAGGACCCTCACTTGCATCACCTGCAAAAGAAACTGCTCCCTCTCCCTGCTTTTTAGCAACATCTTCAGAACTACGATAATGCAACAGATAAAAATAAAGTATCTACCTTAACCTGTCCCTCCAATTCCAATACATCAGAGCCACCTCTACAGATGGTCCTGAAACAACTCTTGTCTAAAATTAAAGATTCAAAATGATATAATTTCCTGTGAAATAGTTAGATTGCAATCTCTCATCAAAGACACAAGTTTACTCAAGACATCTGTCCAAAAATGGGCCTTTCTTAGATCATCCTAATATTTTTCTTTGAATGGGTTACAGGTGTAGGAAAGATGGTTAGCCCCTCAGTGCTTGAGCATCTAGACAAAGCCTTAGGCACCTGAAATATTTTCATCTGTCATTTGCGAACTAACCTGACCTATTATACTAGGATTCCAAATAAATACTAATATTTTTCTGTAGTTATACATTAAAAGGTTAAAAACCATTAACCAAAATGATGACCTGAATATTTTCTTACTTACTTTCCAGTTATATAAATCTAATTATATTCCCAATCTACACGACAGTTCTCTCCTTTCACTCACTTGATACTAAACTGTGTTTTGGAATTGAAGACTGTGTCTGCAGGATACTGCATTTCTCTCTGGTTTTTACAGCATCTCTCCAACCTTGACACACCGCTTACCTGCTTTTCCAGATCATTAATGAGAGTGTTAAATAAGGCTGGGCCCAGTACCAATCCTTGAGGCACCCTGCTAGACACCTGTTCTAATTTGATATTCCACCATTTATCATTACTTATGTTTGCTGCGCTTTAGCCAATCTGTTCTTGGCCTAACAACAGAAGCACAGTGACTCTTGGTAACGCGGGCTGTGTGAATGTATTTACATTCCTGAGGCCAAAAGCCACTGATTCTCAATTCAACAGGGGATTTCTTTATGTCAGTTGCTGGGAAATGTTTTCAGTAGAAACAATCATTACAAAGTCTTAAAAATAATAATTTGCAAAAATTAAGAGTTGTGGAATAAAAGCTGCTGAGTAATCATCTATAAATTAATAGCTGAAATTAAATTTCCAATAAGTTGCTATTCATTAAGGTAGAGTAAGATGCCCAGCACGTGAGACTTGAAATAAAGCAGCTGAAACCATTACTGCCTTCCTTGGTAAATCTATTCTTCCCTTTAGGCCCTCTACCTTGATTAACGTCATCTAGGGACATTCACACATTGCCCCCATCATTTTTACTGCCTCCCCCACACCTCCCCTCCCACCTGATCATCAGCTGACAGACCTTTTAATCTCAGAGGGGTCCATTGCACTGCCTAAAAACAAAAAATCAATTTGTAACCACACAAATCTATTTGAGCCAATGAACTCTACAATCTTGAGTGAATCACTTATGCTGAATTCTGAAATTCAATATTCTCATCTGTAAAACAGAGGGAAATAATGTTTCTATCATAAGATTATTGGGAGAATATTTAAAGATAGGAACCATTATTAAATCCTCAATACTCTGCTTCCAAAATGTAGGTGTTATGTTACATTTTATTTCCCTGTCCCATACAATAACCTGGTATCCCGCTTTCTAGTCTGTCGCCCTCCCTCTCTGCATTTACCCAACACTCACAATTGTGTTTTTGTTTTGAGACGGGGTCTCACTCTGTTGCCCAAGCTGGATTGCAGTGGCATGATCTTGGCTCACTGCAACCTTCATCTCCTGGGTTCAAGTGCTTCTCGTGCCTCAGCCACCCAAACAGCTGGGATCGCAGGTGCTCTCACCATACCCAGGTAATTCTTTTAGTATTTTTAGTAGAGACACGGTTTTACCGTGTTGGCCAGGCTGGTCTCAAACTCCTTGAGCTCAAGCAATCCACCCACCTCGGCTTCCCAAAGTGCTCAGATTACAGGCATGAGCCACATCCTGGGCCCATAATTATTTTTCTCTTAATGACAAATCAAATTATGTCACTTCCTTCTTAAAAATATCTTATGGCTACTACTTTCATGGAAAACAATATTCACAGTCCAGAATGTCATCTTGTATTAACCCACTTGTCCAGCTTTAAATTAGAATATCATTCTGTATTTTCTGAGACTATATAAACCTTTTCATATATACTCAAAGAATTTATAGTTATTTTCTTCTTTAAAAATAATTATGCCCTCCTCAACTTCTAAAGCCCTAAATTTAAATACCTGTAGCTCTTACAATTTGCCAGACACAAATTTTGTCACTGATAATGCAGCAGGCAATAAAACAGGCCTTCTCTGCAATCATGGAGCTTTCTCTCCTTGGAGACAGAGAAAATAAGCAGTAAATATGTGCACCAGTCAAGGCTGGGTGCTTTTAAGATACAGTGGGTGATCAGGAAGGCCATTTTGAATAGGTGACATTTGCACAAAGATCACAATGAAGAAATGATCCATGAAAAGGTCTGAGAAAGGTGTACCAGGCAAAGGGAATCGCAAATGAGATATTCTACGAGAAAACATTCTTAGTGTTTCCAAGGAATCGTATAATTAAACGAACGATGTGTAGAAAGGTCCACTTAAGATCTGTACTCCTCCTTCCAGAGTGTAGAGTTGCTTGTAGGAATTGGCTGCTCATATAGGGACTACATTTCCCAACTCCCGTTGCATCAGGTGTGTCCATGTGGCAAGTTTCTATATGTACAATGGAGGCAAAACTGGTAAGTGACATTGCTGGACCAAAGCAGTGAAGAAAGTGGTAGGCCTACTCCACCCTCTCTTCCCTCATTTGGATGTAGAAGGGTCTTCATTCTTGTACTGTCAATACAGAAATATTTTTATTTATGAACTTATTTATATATTTTTTAAATTTCTGTATATTACAATGGGATGGGTTTTTTTGTGAAGAATCGTACTTAGATTTACGTTTTTTAACTTTTCATTTTGAGTAATTATAGACACATAATAGTCATAATATATTTAGGGAGTGCATGTGATATTTTGATACAATGTATAATAATCAAATCATAATAACTGGGATATCCATCACCTCAAGCATTTACTGTTTCCTTGTGTTAGAAACATTCCAATTCCACTCTTTTAGTTATTTCGAATTATACAATAAATTATGTAGTTAGATATACACAATGTAATATTATTCAGCCATAAAAAAAAGAACAAAATCCTATCATTTGCCACGACGTGGACAGAAATGGAGTACATTGTATTAAGTGAAATAATCCAGGCACAGAAAGTTAAATCTCATGTTCTCACTCATATGCGGGATAGAGAGAGTAGAATGATGGTTACCAGAAGCTAGGAAGGGTAGTGGGAAGGGAGCAAAAAGAGGGCATGGTTAATGGGTACAAAGATAGGTAGATAGAATGAATAGGGGCTAGTGTTCAGTAGTAGCACAATAGGATGACTATAGTTGACAATAATGTATATTTTGATGTTTGGTATCTTAAAAAAACAACCCTCTCTGGCTATTGAGAGACTGCCCCTCCTATACCTAGTCAGTTCTCAGAGATAGCAGAAGACTCACCTTAGAGCATGCCATTGATATGCAAACTAACCAATCTGGAGGCATGCCTCCTTTATCTGGCTCATGTACCCCAGAAGACAATATTCCTCTGCCTTCATCATCCCAGGAGCAGGTACCATACAACTAGGTAGCAGCACCCCAATAGTGTAGAACCTGTTGGAATTACTCAGACTAGGCAATCTGAAGCTGTTTACCTCCCCTGCCTTGCTTTTCCCTTAGAATTCCCAGTGAAGGCTCTAGCCTCTGATTTTCCCTGGCTACTTTTGCCTTCCTTTTCTGCTACCTGGACCAAAACTGGACCCTTTCCCTGTGACACGGCTTGGTGTGCCATGACTCCTCTCTAAGACCCTGGAGTATAAAATCTTTGTTTTCTTGTGCCTCCCTTGTATCTTTTCGTGGAGCTGCATCTGACTGATCATCACATAAAAGAACACAAAACAGTTCCTCCGGACTGATGCCAGAGCATTACATCAATTAAGAGAGTCAGCATAGCGGGAACAGGGTAACCAAAGTGGTTAGAAGTAGGAGACTCAGAAAGGTGACCAGGAAGCAGGTGGACCAAGCATGGCTATGTTGGACAAGGTAGGACTTCAGGTGATCTCCTCAGTATGAAAGAAAGACCTGGAGGGTCTTGAGAAAGTATCTGACTTAGTTTTAAAAGAATAATGCTGGCAAGAATAGACTTTCAGGTGGTTGGGAGAAGACTGAATTCAGGAAGATCGAAAAGACTGATGTAACACTCCAGCTGAGAATTGATGGTTGCTTAAACTAGTATGATATTGATAGTGAAATAGCGGGGTGATATATTTTGAAAGTAGAGATAAAATATTTGATATGGGGTATAGAAAGAGGGAGAAAGAGAGAGAAAAAAATATGAACGATCACTCAAAGTGTTTACGCAATGAGTAGCCAGGTAAAGAGAGGTGCAATTTACTGAGATGATGCACGCTTGCAGAGGACCCATTGTGTGGGCATACATGAGAACCTGTGTTAGGAAATACTCATGTTAAGATGTCTATTAGACTCTGTAGTATAGATGTCAAGTATGCAGTTGGATTTATGTCTGGAGTTCAGGAGAAAAGTTAAATAGAGATTTAAATTTGAGAGTTATTATTGTTTTTATGTAATTATAACCAAAGCACTAACATTTGTTTTACAATAAGTTTCTTTTATTCATCTACATTATGTAGTGCAATAAACACTTTTTTTCCACCATCCAATGTTCTAATGAAAGTCTTGAACGCTCTTCCTCCCTGATATACTGTAGTTTCTACTCTTTTTAAGGACTTTTTTGTTAAATTGTCCTTTGAGATCGTCCAATCACATTTTGAAAGTTATCTTTTGGCTTAAGTTCTCTCAATTAGTTACGTATTTCTTGTAAACAAAAATAATTTTATTTGGACACAAACATTTAGTTATTTATGTATCTATTACTTCATCTAGCCTGTCTTATTTACTTTCATTGACCCACTTGACAAGGATTGAAAAGGATCAATGTCATTTTAAATCAGTAGAAATGATATTAACATTTTCTATATTTATATTGCAAGATGTATATTCTAATTTGTAGTATTATGTAATCAACTTGTTTTTTACTTTTATATTTTGTGCCTTTGTTTTTACACCACTTTACACTACACCAGTAATGCGGAGAAACCAAACAACACCCTTAGTCGTAACATTTAAATTAATAAAACACTGTTACAAATGAACACACCTTAAAGAAAGTAAATGTTCAATAAAATATTGTTAATATGATTTGAATGTAATTATCTGCTTAAAAGTCAAGGAAAGACAATTCCTGCTTAAGGGATTTTTAAATACAAGAGAGATGAGTGTTAATCAGGGTTGCCAGTGAAGTCTCCTTGCCACCTATTATATTGCAAGGGATTGGTATTAGAACAATATTAAAATTCTAAACATATTTATTCACATAAGATTATAGTGTGGTTTCAAATAATCAATAACTGAATCAATAATCAAATGTGAATTCACATTGATTTATTTGAATATGAATTAATCACGTTTCAGTTGTAATAATACAATGTTGCGGAAAACAATATATCAACGTTCCGTGGCCAGGAAAAGCTGTGATTCACAGTACTTCATCAAATTCTAGAAAATATCATTTCTAGTGTTGCCAATTAAAAATCTGTACTCAGATAAGTGGGACTAATGGAGGGGGAAATCAGAATCAATGTCAAAGAAACCAAGTCTCATTTCTCCAAAATGAGTTTCTCTTGCACTCTAACTATCTTAACTTAGAAGTAGAGCATGAAACATCAATTGAGGATATCTAAATAATTTTATCTTGTCAGGAGCTATATTTTATAAGCCATTTAATCTTCACAGAACTTAGTTTTACCTAAAAAAGAAGGCATTTGATTAGACAGCATCTACTCTTTTTAACTTTATGAGACTTTTTAACCTCTTATGAGACTCAAGAAGTGTCAGATTCATTGATGTATAACTTTTGTGTTTTATTTACATAGCAAAATAGCAACTCCCATAATAATATTTATTTTATTTTGGGACTCTACTATAGCTTATTACATCAAAGATGTCATCTTAAACTTCCCATTATTACTATGAAGTCAGTCTTACAATTTTCATCCTACAAATAAAGAAATTTTATCAATGTGTAAACATTTTGTTTGAAGTCTTGTAGCAATAAAATGGAGAACCAAATCCATGCTAACACTAAGAATAAGCATTTGAGAAGAACAAAAAAAAAATCAAGTTACAAAACTAGGTTATTTAAGTTTAAATGCTGCATGTCTGAAACATTAAACCCAAAAGATGTTAAAAACAGACTAAATGTTATGGGCTGTATCAACCATCAAATGTAAACTAAAGAGCAATCCACCTGGTCCTTCTCTTCTGCTGCATCTACAAGCACTGGCTCCAAAGAAGCTCTCAGGCTAACCTAACATAAGAGATAAATAGGCAGTTTCAAAAGGCTACTATCTAGAATTTCATTTATTGGATTTCACCTTGCATTCAGGGAAATGTTGTAATGGGAGGATTCATAGTCATGGTATTTAAAGAACTAAAATTCTATCCTTTCTGAGAATCTTACTCTCCACATAATTGCATGATTGGTTAGTAAGGAGTTTCAGACTCTGGAGCAAGAAATTTAATAGCTTGGGATAATTTTAAATAGTAGGTTTCCATAAGAAAAAATACATTTTATACCAGATGAGTAATTTATTTCGGCGTTAAACTAAGGAATACTTGGAATGTTATTATGTCGATGGCCAAGAGTTGTGTTATGAGTGCTATTGGAAGGGACAAGCCCATACTAAATGGAATTACTGTCAGAAAGCACAAGTAATCAATATGTTTTCTTTAAAACTGACATAAAATCACAGAATATTAAGGGACTTCAGAAATCATTTTATGCAATGTTGTCATCTTACAAGTGAGGAAATTGAGACCTGGAAAAATTTTTCCCTATCACATCAAACTGTTAATGAATGAGGACAAGATGAGAACTGAGGCCACCTGACCTGCAGCCCTGTGCTCTTCACATGGATTTGGCTTCCATAATAGAATCACCATCTCAGAGTACTTATTCAGTACAGGACTGAATTATGTGGGTATAAGTATGTGTGGACTTCATTTTTATTCATTTAGCAAATAGGTGGTGAACATCAGCTTCATCAAATCCTGGGGTAGATTCTAGTAAGACGATGATAAAACAAAACAGAAACTTTAATGATAAATGATAAAACAAACATGAAACTTTAGCCAGAACACACATAACTGCACATCAGGATAAATCTTCTGAAGTAAATGGAGTTCGAAGGACCAACAAGAGAGCAGTGATTAGCAAATGTTTTCCTGCCTTTCTGATATCGAAACTGACATCTGAAGGATAAGTGAAAGAAAATTAATCAAAGTGGAATAAAGAGATTCAAAGGGCAAAACAAGCAAATGTCATAGGCAGGAGAGAAAAAAAGGAAGGAAGGAAACAAGAAAAAAGAGAAGAAAGGAAGGAAGACAAAACAAGAGAGAGAAACAAGAAAGGATGGAAAGAAAGGGAAGGGAAGGGACAGGACAGGAAAAGGGAAAAGGAAAGAAGGAAGAAAGGAAGGAAAGGAAGGAAGAAAGGAAGGAAAGGAAGGAAGGAAGGAAAGAAAAGCAAAAATAGGGAGGGAGAGAGAAAGCAGGGACACACAGAACATAGGGCAGAGTTATTTGAGATGATGTAGAGTGCCAGGCAGGGGAAACAAAACACAGTGCTTATAAGCCTGTTTAAGAATTGTTTTTATCTTTATGTAAAGAGTAACAGAAACTTTTGAAATGCTTTAAGCCCTGGAAGTTACATGATGAAAATGTACTTGAAAAGATTACCATGCTTGGGATTTGTACACTGGATTTTAAAATGCACAGACTAGATAAATGAATGCATTTCAGGAGAGGCTATTATAGCTGTTAAAGTTAGCATTGAAAACGGGATGCTCCAGGGGAGACTGAAATTTGTCTGGAGCCATGCATTTTTCTCATCTGCCAATGAGATTTATTCTCTTATTAGAACCCTTGCCTGGGCACGGTGGCTCATGCCTGTAATCCCAGCACTCTGGGAGGCCAAGGCGAGCGGATCTCCTGAGGTCAAAGGTTTGAGACCAGCCTGGCCAAAGTGGTGAAACCCCATCTCTACTAAAATACAAAAATTAGCTGGGTGTGGTGGCATGCACCTGTAATCCCAGCTACTTGGAAGGCTGAGGCAGGAGAATTGCTTGAACCCAGGAGGTGGAGGTTGCAGTGAGCTGAGATTGCACCACTGCACTCCAGCCTGGGCAACAAAGTGAGAGTTGGTTTTAAAAAAAGAAAAAAAGAAGACTAGTTTCTATGTACATAGATATTTTATTTGCAACAAGGACAGGAAGTTAAGTCTTTTTTTTTAATATGGGGGTTTAAAACACGACCTATGAGTACATTATTAAAACTCTTTGATTATTTCTGGCTTAATGTCATAAAACTAGTGAAATCAACACAGGCCAATTAGAATTTCAGGTATCTATTTTCTGAAAATGACTTAGTATTTTGTATGTACCTTGTAGAATGTCTGGAATCTTGTTAAGTGCTTACTACATGCCTGTTCATCATTGTCTATCCATTTATCTGTGATAAACACTAAATTAAATAGTGTTATTTCTTCTAGAATAAAATCAATTATTTTATTTACAATAATAAAAAATATATTACATGTGCAAGTGTGTTTTTGCCCACAGATACATGGAGACACATGATTTATAGACACACATACAAAGCACATCCAAAACATAGGATATGATCTAAAAAAATTGCAAATTAAATGCTAAAGATGAATAAACGTGGTCTTTATAAAACACTGCCAAGAACTTCATAAATATTTATAGATAGCACTTTTAACTCATTAATTGCCTTACATTGCCTTATCTAATTTTAAGCCTAATCAAAAATCAATATTACTTGGGTTCCCAGTCTAGTCTTAGTTCTGTTCAAGAGAAGGCCACCCAAATATCAGCCTCTGATGAACACTGTACTATGCCTGAAATAAGAAAAAAATTTAGGAAGGAAAGAAGATTTGATATCATGGGGAAGCTATGTTTTGTGTTCCAGGAAAATATATATTTATATATCATATAAATAATATTTATATAATTCACATTTTAAAAATTATATGTACATATTATATTTATACAGTTGACCCTTGGTATTCATGGTTTCAGGACCTCCATGTATACTGTACCAAAATTCACAAACACTCAAGTTTCTCATATAAAATGGCATAGTATTTACATATAACCTACACACATTCCCCCATATACTTTACCTGTTTCCACTGTAAGCATATAAGTGCTATCTAGAAAAACAACCCTACAACGATTCACTGTTATATATCTTCTCACATACTTTAGAGAGTGGAAACAACAGTAGATTCTTTTCTTTCCCTAATTATTCTCTTGTCCCTTCCCTATGAGAGAATAATATATCCTTTCCTACTGCCATGTGCTTTGCCATACCCCTGTGGAATGAGTGTACTTGTGTTACAACTATGATTTCCAACAGCATGTAACAAACGTGACTTCGGGAAATAGCTTCAAATGCTATGGTGTCATTTGTTCCAACTGTTTCACTTCTATCCCCTTTACCATGAAAATTGTTTGCCATAGTATGCGGGCTCCTCTCATCCAGCTGACATGAAACATGAGAAATAAACTGTTGTCCTAACATGAGGAGATTTGGGGCCTGTTTTTTTCCGAGCACATGAGCCTAAAGATGACTAATACAGCTAACAAACATATTTTTAAAACCTAAATGTCTAAAAACATAAGGTCCTTATTTTTGCTTCTAGAAGTATGGAATAACAGGAGCTGAGTTTACCTTTCTCCCTGAAACAATCAACAGAGAAATTATCTGAAACAACAGTTTCAACATTTGGGACATTAGGCCATATAGGACAGTGACCTCTGAAAGACTGGAAACATACAATGCAAGCCTTACAATGCAAGTCTCATCTTACAGCTGTGACAGAGTTTTCAGATGCAGGGAGGGAATACCCAGGCAGAGCCCAGGAGGTTCTCTGAGTTGACAAGAATGGCTGAGAGTTTAGGTGGAAAAGGCAGCTAGAATTTACAAGATAGACTTCAGAAGAGACAAGAGCTGCATAGAGGGTGAATTCTGGAAATTTTCAGGTTTCCACTTCAGTATTCACCTGATCAGTAAAGAAAACCACTGAAGGACAGGGAAAGAACACCTAAATGAATGAGATGATGGTGCCCAGCACTCACACTGGGCTAAGAAATGGTGCCTATTCTTACCAGCTAGGATGGAAAAACTTATGACTCATGGGCAATCAGTAAAACACACAGATGCATCTTGTCTCAGTAGTAGGGAATAATTATTCCTACACTGAGTACTGCTCCAGACATGCCTAACAATTCTTAAAGGCAAAATTGAAATAACAATGTTTCTACATAACTCAGTTGTATACCAAACAAAGCTTTTTGTTATACAAAAATACAAAAAGCAGCACCCAAATAGTAAATTTCACAATGCCTGAAAACTAATCCAATATTATCAGACACACACAAGCAGGAAAATGTGACACATAATAAGCAGGAAAAGATGGCTTACAATAAGTAGAAAAGTGAACAGAAACTGACCTAAAGTTGACAAAGATGTTAGAATTTGTAGACAGAAACACGAATACAGTCATTTTAACTTTATATGTTGTAAAATTTATGTAGAGACATGGAAGATGGAAAAACGATGCCCAAATTGAACTTTCAGAGATGACAACTACAACATCTTGAATGAAAAATTCACAGAAAGGAATTAATGGCAGTTTAGATATTGAGAAGAAAAGACTAGTGAACTTACAGGTGCAGTAATAAAAATATCCAGATAAAACAAAGAAAAAGAAACTACCAGATTACATAAAAAGATAAAAAGTCAGATATAATTATATGTTTTCTACAAAGAAAGCTAACATGAATCAAAACAAAGCAAAAATGGCTACATTAATATCAGACGAAGTGGTCCTCAAAGAAGACTATTAGCGGGGATAAAAATGCATTTCTTGATGATAAACGGGTCAGTTCACATGGAATCATTATAAGCTTAAACATGTATACACCCAACCACAGGGTTTCAAATACATGAAGCAAAAACAGAAAGAAGAAATAGACAAATATATAATTATAGCAAAAGATTTCAAAACACCTCTCTCAATAATTTTATTGAACAAAAATACAGTAAGGTAGTCAGTACATAACAGACCAGAAAAAAATACTATCAACCAACTTGCCTAATTTATGTTTATGGAATGCTGTATCCACTAAATATCTATGTTGGAAAGGAAGAAAGTTTGCAAATTGACCTTGGAATTCACCTGAATATATGAGGAAGTGTTGATTAAACCCAAAGCACATAGAACAGTTATAACAAAAACAAAAAGAGAAAAATCAATGGAATTGGACCAAAAACTTAATATATACAATTAAAAAAAATCAAAAGTTGGATCTCTGAATAGATAAGTTAACGTATCCCAGCAAGACTGATCAGGAACATACAGGAAGAAGAAATAAATCATTAATATTAGAAATGAGAAAAGTCACATCACTATAGACTCCACGGATAACAAAAGAAAAATTAAAACATATGAACAACTTTATACCAATATGTTTGACAATCTAGACCTATAAGAAATGGTCAGATCTCTTTAAAAATACATACTACTTAAAAATCCCTCCAGAAGAAATAGAAAATCTGAATATCTCTGTATATATTTCAACAAATGAATTTGTAGCTAAAACCCTTTAAATCCAAAAAAAAAAAAAAAAAAAAAAAAAGTCAGACCCATTTGGCTACAGTGGTCAATTCAATCACAGATAAGAAGAGAAGAATACCAGGCCAGAAGCAGTGGCTCACTCCTGTAATCCTAGCACTTTGGGAGGCCGAGTCGGGTGGATTGCCTGAGTTCAGGAGTTTGAGACCAGCCTGGGCAACTCGGTGAAACGACATCTCTACTAAAATACAAAAGAAATTAGCTGGGCGTGGTGGCACATGCCTGTAATCCCAGCTACTTGGGAGGCTGAGGCAGGAGAATTGCTTGAACCTGGGAGGCGGAGATTGCAGTGAGCCAAGATTGTGCCACTGCACTCCAGCCTGGGTGACAGAGCAAGACTTCATCTCTACAAGACAAAATAGAAGAAGAAGAAAGAAGAAAGAAGAAAGAAGAAGAAGAAGAAAGAAGAAGAAGAAGAAGAAGAAGAAGAAGAAGAAGAAGAAGAAGAAGAAGAAGAAGAAGAGAAAAATACCAATTCTACAAAAACTTTTCAAGACATTAAAAGAGGAAAGTCCTGTTTTTCCAATTCATTTTATGAACTCAATATTACCCTGATATGCTGATATGAAGACTTGATAAAGGCATTATCTAAAATAGAAGTTTGTGGACCAATATCCCTCATGAACATAGACACCAAAAACTCTAAATTCATTTTAGTAAATTCAGTCCATCAAACAAGATATAAAATGGATAACAATATATGAGTAAGTTGACTTCATTGCAGGAATGCAAGGATGACTAAAAATTCTCAAGTGAATCTATGTAATTCACCATATTAACAAGTAAAAAAAAAGGAAATACATAAGATAATATCAATAGATACAGAAAATGTGCTTAATAAAATGTCTTTTTCTATTAAAAATTATCAGAAAGTAGGAAAAGAAAGGAAATAACTTTATAAAGAGGGAAGGAAGGAAGGAGGGAGGGAGGCAGGGAGGGAAGGAAGGAAAGATGGAGGGAGGGAGGAGGGGAGGAGAGGAGGGAGGGGAGGAGGAAAGGGAGGGAGGGAGGCGGGAGAGAGGGAAGGAGGGAGGGGAGCCGCAGCTAACATCATAGTTAATGGTAAAAAAAAAAAAAAAAAAAACCTGACTGTTTTCTCTCTAATATCACAAGTAAGTCAAGCTGTCTGCTCCCACCATCTCTAGTCAACATTGTACTTGAGGTACTAGGCAGTGAAATCAGGCAACACAAACAAACAGAAGGCATCCAGATTGGAAAACAAAGATGTCATTATTCATAGACAACATAATCATCCATGTAGAAAATTAAATATAACCTACAAAGAAGTTACTGGAAATAATAAGTGAATTTAGAAAGACAAGTTAAAATATCAATATTAAATGTATTTCCATACTAGCAAACAGCTGAAAATAAAATTTTAAAAATATTATATACAGTAGCATAAAATTATAAAATTCTTATGGTAAATATGGTAAATAATGTTAGACACTGAAAACTATAAAACATTGTTTAGAGAAATGAAAGAGGGCAAAATAAAGGAAGCCATAGCTGGTGTTAATGGGTAGGAAATTTCAATATTATTTAGATATAAATTCTCCCCAAATGGGTCCATAGTTTCAATTCAATGTCAATCAGTCATTTGACTTTTCTGTGGAAATTGACAAAATCACTTCAAATTCATATTTAAATGCAGAGGGCCTAAAATAGCCAAACAACGTTTAAAAAGAGGAACCAAATAGGAGGATTAACACTATCTCATTTCAATAGACATTATAAAGCTCTTATAATCAACACACTGTTGTATTAGAGAAAATAATAGACATATTGATCAATAGAAGAGAATAGACAGATTAGATATAGACCCACACACGTATGGAAATTTCTTGCAAAGATGCAAAGGTATTTCCATAAAAGAAGGATAATCTTTCAACAAGTGGTGTTGGGACTACTGGATAACCATATGTAAGAAGTAAGCTTTGATCTTCTCTCCCACTATCTACAAAATTTATTACAGCATTTAAGCAAAAATGTAAATCCTAAAGCAATAAAAATCTTTTTAAAAATCATAGAATAAAACTTCGTCACAATGGATTAGGCAAAGATTTCTTAAGAACCGTCCCAGAAGCACAATCAATAAAAGGACAAAAGGATAAAATGGATATCAGAAAAACTGAAAACTTTTGCTCTTTAAATGACATGGTTAAGAAAATGCAAAGACAAGCTACAAGCTATAAGGATGAAATCTGTGTAAAGGATTTCTATCAAAATATGTAAAGAGCTGTCAAAACACAATAATAAGAAAGCCAACAATTTAATTAAAAATTTAGTAAAATATGTGAACAGATTGTTCACCAAATAAGGTATATGGATGGAAAATAAACGTGAGGAAAGATGTGCAACATCATTATTTATTAAAATATGCAATTTAAAATCACAATTAGGTACAACTCACATACTAGAATATCTAAAATTAAAGAGACTGCTTGTGTCGACCAGTGTTAAATATGTAGTGGAACTGAACTTCTTACACTCTACTGGTGGAAATGTAAAACAAGAAATCTTTTTTAAAAAGAATTTATCAAATTCTTTAAAAACTTAAAGACTGTATACAGCAACCATATGATCCAACCATTCCACTCCCAGATATCTCACCAAGAAAAAAATAATTGTATCTCAATAAAAATGATTTCACACTAATTTTCATAGCAGCTTTTTTTTTGTAATAACCTAAAGCCGGAAACAACAGGTGAATAGATTCCATAGAATGGAATACTACTCATCAATAAACAGAATCAGAATAAACTATTGATATATACTACAACATGGTTTGATCTCAAAATAATTAGCCAGACATTCCAGAGAACATATTGTATGATTTATATTCTATAAAACTGAAGAAAATGCAAACTAATCTATCACGAAATGAAGCAGATCAGGGCTTTTCTCAGCTATACGTGGGGTGAGGCCAGGCAGAGTGGTTCTGAGGAAGTATCAGGAGTCTTTGTTGGTAATGCATAAGTTCCGTATCTTACAGTGGTGTCTATTTAATGAATGTATACTTATGTCAAAAAGTATCAATTAGTACATTTTAAATATGGAAAACTGTGCTTCAATAAAGTTGTTATAAGAAAAAAATGAAATTCAAATTGGAAATTATAGCACTCCAAGTACTATCTACGATAGAAACTTTTTAAATTAGGCACTTTTTAAAAAGCAAAATGTCTCTTTTATTTCTTTATCTTCAAATCACCTTAATACAGAAAGTTAAACATAAATTTTGGTTTCTTTTTACATAGGCATTGAGAACAGAACATTCTACTGAATAGCCCTATTATGGATTTTTGCAAACTGTTATACCCATTCGCTCTCTTCTATATATAGGCTGAAATATATCTCTCTTTATGACCAAAGAAAAAAATTTATTTTCAATGCCTTCACACTATTAGATTCATGATGTTTGCTTTACTTCAAAGTATCTCATATTATCTCAGTGTTAAATTTCATTACATAATATTAGTGTAAGTTTTTCATTCAAATGTTCATTCAATAACAATTTACTGAACAGTTAAAATATGCATGCACTGTGCTGGGCCGTGAAGTTATAATCATGAGAATGGCATAGTCATGGTTGTCAAGGAGTCTCAGGACTTTAAAGGAGAGAAGGAGGTAAAGAAACATTAGCATACAGTATTGCATACACAATACTCAGTAACTAGAAAGACAGAAGATGGAGAAAACAAAGGGATGGTTAGTTTTGATTGGCGAGATGGTGGAGCACACAAGTGAGAAACGTGTGAGAAGGCTTCATGGAATAAGAACCAAATATGCTGAGTTTTAAAGGATAAGCTTTGGGAGGTAAAGGTTATTATATACAAGACATGGAGCTACTTCATAGAATAGGAACTAAAATAACTAAGTGAAAAAGGAAAGAATTTAATGATCATGGCTAACATGTATGACATGGTTAGGCTTTGTGTACCCACCCAAATCTCATCTTGAATTGTAATCCTCATAATCTCCATGTGTCAAGGGAGAGACCAGGTGGAGGTAATTGAATCATGGCGGCAGTTTCCCCACCGCTGTTCTCATGATAGTGAGTGAGTTCTCAGGACACCTGACAGTTTTAAAAGAGGATCTTTTGCTTCACTCAGTACTTCTCCTTCCTGCCACCTTCTGAAGAAGATGCCTTGCTTCCCCTTCGCCTTCCACCAGGATTTTAAGTTTCCTGACACCTCTCCAGCCGTACTGTGATTCAATTAAACCTCTTTCCTTTATAAATGACCAGTCTTGGGCAATTCTTCATAGCTGTATGAAAACAGACTAATACAGAGTAATATGCTATTGCTGTAGAGTATGACATTTAGTCTGCAAGTGGAAGAAAGCTTTTAAAGAATGTATTCAAGGCTGGGCGCAGTGGCTCACACCTGTAATCCCAGCACTTTGGGAGGCCAAGGCGGGCGGATCACGAGGTCAGGAGATCGAGGCCATCCTGGCTAACATAGTGAAACGCTGTCTTTACTAAAAATACAAAAAATTAGCCAGGCATCGTGGCAGGCGCCTGTAGTCCCTGCTACTTGGGAGGCTGAGGTAGGAGAATGGCATGAACCTGGGAGGCAGAGCTTGCAGTAAGCCAAGATCATGCCACTGCACTCCAGCCTGGGCGACAGAGCGAGACTCCATCTCAAAAAAAAAAAAAAAAAAAAAAGAAAAAAAGAAAAAAGAAAAAAGTATTCAAGGTAGTGATATGATCACATCTATCTGGAAAAGAAATTAATACACTGATATTTAACTTTGGCTTCCTGCAATACAACAGTACCTTTACCAAAAGACTATCAAAGATTTATTCAAGCCTTTGTAAATAATGAGTTGTTGAAGATTTTGAAACCCAAATGGTTTTATCATGCTGTTTACTGTCCTGTCAAAACACATTACCAATTAAATAGATGGGCATTGTATTTCACAAAGAAAATATATTTTAATACTTTTGTATCTTAGAGGTAATCCATTTATAGAACATGATTTTCCATTTATATATATCTATCCTTTGTGTCATTATTATCATAGTCTAATGCTGGAGATGTTTGGACTTCAGAGCGAATACTTTCCAGGGAATCTAAGATGGTGGGGAAAGGATATTGTGCCCATCTTCTCTCATTTCATGACTTTTCCTCCGAGAACAAAACAGTGTTATATGCAGGATAACCAGTTTTATTAAAGAAGAGTGATGATAGCTGAGATTCTTGATAACACACAGAAGAAGTGTATTTGACATAAGAAAGTTTATTAAACTCATCTTTGACCTTTGTTTTTTTCCTTTCTAGGAAACAAACTTTAGCAATCAACTTGTCCCCTCAGGTTAAAGATTCCATTGTTTTCATTTTTTAAGTTAGTACACTGTTGGTCCCTAAACTTCTTTGATCAAATTATTATTTTTTTAAAGAGGCAATGCTTTAAGACTTCTCCTGCCAAGTCAGCTCCAGAAATAAAATCACAAAATCTCAAGCGCAATATTTTTTCAGTGATACAAAATAATTTCTGTAAATATTTGGAGCATGTACTATATTGCCTTATGTTCAAGTCCAAGAACCATCTGAAAGGTAGAAATAGTTCATCAAGGTAAAATGTATTCTACAGTCATAATACTTTGTAAATAATTTATAGGACAAAAAATATTCAAAGATATCTCAGTTGATATATGGCTACAGAATATTCTTATGCTTCTAAATATTAAGGAAATAGTAAACTGTAACTCAAGAAAGGAAGCTGTACTTATTATATGTGATTGAGTAAAAGTCTAATCAAAATCAAAAATTAATTCAACAAAAGTTGCCATCGAGTACACACCAGCCCAAAGTAACAAACACCCTACCAACAATTGCCTGAAAATATTCTAGAATTAATTTTCACCTCAGTTGAACAATTTATTGACTTTTTTCCCTGCACGCCAGATGCCTATAGTCTCCCCTACAAACATCTTGTCTTTTCCATTTTTGTTCATATTTAGTTTTTGGCAACCACAGCTTGTATAATTACATTATGTTGGAGCAGGACCATATTAAGGAAACATTGCAAAGTACAAAAAATTTTCTTTGGCTCACCTCCCATCTGTAGTGTTTCATGGAGTAATAGCCTTTCTCTGCATCAAAGTCTTTCCTGGATTCCTGTGGTATTGTTCCCAGAATCTCCTCGTCTAAACTCTCCTGAAGCGTTAGCTCCTAAACACATATGTTACTATTTCTATGGGGCTTTTCCTTTACTAGGAATGGAAAACACTGTTGAGATGATCAGATATATACTGCTGATGAGGCAGCCACACTTACCAGCCAGAGGCCAGCTCTGCTTCTGAGGATACATAGAAAGTATATTCCAATAGCGGCCTTTGCATGTGTGCATTATAGCAGCATTCATATTTGAAGAAAGTCAAATTAAAGCATGCATATAAAACTTGTACTATTTGCAGTTTGAAGATTTTGCCCATGAATTTCAAATGTCTGCATGGAATCCCAAGTTATTTTCTCTTTATGGTATAAAAATGTTAAAGAGTGGGGAAGAGGAGGTAATGATCAAAATGCTCATGTGAGGAAACAACTAGGTATTTTATGAGAAAGACAAGCTTCCAAACACAGGTTAAACATGGCACTTTTCATCTCACCTGAAGCATGCTGGCCACTCCAGTCCACCAAATGCAGTTCCCTTGGGACCTACGCTGGATGGATACCCAAGGTCTCATGAGGTAAAGGCTAGGACACTTGCTCTTTCTGACCAGGCAGTGCTGTGGCTGATTAATATCCACCCAAAGCCACAATCACCTTCTGATCTGAGGAGCAGGTGACGGGGAGATTCTGAAGTCTCTTGATAAATTATGCAAACATAATCAAACAATACACATTGCAGGTTAAAAAAAAATTCAGTCACTGAAGTGGTTTGCTTTGTCCTTTAAAGAACTGAATCTAAATAGATTGTCATCAATCATTGGCAGTTCCTAGAATGACAACGCTGAGAAATTAGTATTACATGGGTACCATAGAAGAGCTATTTTCTTTCCTAGTGAAACGCTTGGGAAAGGAGAGAGGAAGGGAGAAAAATAAACAAGGCTTTTCTAACTACTGTTGGAATTTTCCTTTCTCTGTTCTTTCTTCAGATGAACCAGAAGACCAATTTAGTCCCAATATCCAATGCTTTCACATGACTACAGCTTATCCTAAGCCTTCCTTCCTCCTTGCCAATACAAAATACACACCTTTCAAGGATCTTTCAAGGCCTATATCAAAGGTCGAAATTTGCCTACTCCTAAGTCATTCATTTTGTAACGACATCAGTTTCTATGTGATTATATTATATATATATATATATATATATATATATATATATCCTTTTGTATATATATTCTAATTTTATATACTCTGTCTAAAGCTACAATATCTCCTTGCACAGAGTCACAAAATGTAAATTGAAATACATTATTGTTATTAGTTTGATTTTTGTGTTACCTCATCTTCACTATTTAGTAATCATCTTAAATGCAGTAACTTTTGACTTGTAAATGTTGGGCTTTTGACACAGAGTTGGTGTTAACAACATTATATGCAAAATGACTCACTTTACTATTTCATTCGCAATTCACAAAACAAAAAGTTAATTTGTATTCATTGAATAAGATAATACATAGACATATCAAAAATATATAATTTGTAGTTTATTTAGACTCAACATTGTTCCACAACATATCTAAAGCAGAAAGAAAAGATAAAAATATACACATTTATTTTTACAATAAATACTGTCAATAAGTTATCAACTAAATATTAAGGCACTTCTTAGATTAATAAAATTAATAAATTTCACATTGTGTAATATTGTTTTCATAATAGGAAGCCAGT
This sequence comes from Homo sapiens, assembly GCF_000001405.40. Classification (NCBI taxonomy): domain Eukaryota; kingdom Metazoa; phylum Chordata; class Mammalia; order Primates; family Hominidae; genus Homo; species Homo sapiens. The sequence goes on from NC_000008.11 coordinate 14,854,566, forward strand.
GGTTTTCATTATTTTTCAATAGTCATCGTAGATATGATTATTGCAAATATAAGATATTTTGAATACATACAGTAATATAGTTTGGTGTTAAACAGTAGAGAGAAGAAGGATTTACTGGTCCTTCTGATTTCTTTTTTCACTTTTGTTGGATTATTTCAGGAATACCAGCAGGAATTAGTTTGCTATTATCATTTTATTTTCATAGAGAGGAAAGGAGAGAGTAGGTCAATTGGGATCAGTCTCCCAGGGCATATAAACCCGGCAGAGAGTGGCCCTCTTTAATCTCTGCTACCCTAGACATCAAAGGCTGCACTGCCACTATTCACAGAGATATGTCAGCATGTCCACAGGGGCCTGAACAATCATGCAGAGGTCCATGCTATGGCCTCTCTTGGGAAATCCCGCTCCCGACTTTATCTGGTATGCTCTCCCACCTCCCTCAAGATCTAACTTTGATGCAACTTCCTAGGCATCTCCATTATTTTATTTATTTATTTATTTATTTAGAGACGGAGTCTTGCTCTGTCACCCAACTGGAGTACAGTGGCACAATCTTGGCTCACTGCAACCTCTGCCTCCTGGGCTCAAGCGATTCTCATGCCTTAGTCTCCTGAGTAGCTGGGAATAAGGGATGCCAACATGTCCACCTAACTTTCGTATTTTTAGTTGAGACGGAATTTCACCATGTTGGCCAGGCTGGTTTTGAACTCCTGACCTCAAGTGATCCGCCTGCTTTGGCCTCACAAAGTGCTGGGATTTCAGGCGTGAGCCACTGTCCCCAGCCGGCATCTCCATTCTTGATCTGGGTATCAAGTCTCTGTACTTCGTGCTCACTATATACCTAGCCCATTCTGATTTATGCTTGCTATTCCCATGTCAAAACATTGCCCCATTTTACCCTCAACAGTGTCCATACTTGCAGGATAGATTATAGTCATGGGGTTCAGCTTAAAATCTGCCTTGACTAGAAGGTCAATTCTGGTTCTCTCATCTCTAGGCATCCCTTCTAGCCACCAAGTAGATTTTGTTTTCAACACAGACTGAGGCCAACTCTAAAAAGTTATCAAAAATACTTAAAGAAAACATATGGTCAAATTGTGGTTGTATTATTGCAAATGCCAACAGAGGCCTGAGTCTTAGGAATTTTTCCCAGAAATACTCTCCCTTCAGTTTTCATAAGCTCAAAGGCAGAACATGCCCGGTAACATAATAGTAATGTTAAATTCCAAAGGCAGCCTAGTGATGGTTTTTGCCAGCATGTAATTCACTTGATAGAATTCTAAGGCTTTCACTTCTGATGACTCACAATGTTGGTGATTTGAGATAAGACCACAAAAGGAAAAGACCCAACTTTTCATTAAAGGCCGATCCGAATTTTGCAAGACATTTTCCAGTGATAACAAACAATGCTACAATATAGTTACCGACAATTCAATTCCTGTTCAAGCACATAATTTCTCCAAAACTTTTAATTGACGTTTATAACCCTATGACTAATACATTGTAAATTAATCAAAATAAAACATATAATATTTAGGTCGAGGATAGGATTAAGGATGGTGGCTAGGATCAAGATATAAATTCCATTTTAATACACTTTTTGTGGTGTTTAAGATTTAGCTAAGATTAGTTATTTAGCGAAGATAAGTTATGATTCAATGAAAATAAATAGAAGAATCTACATACTGGCACATCGATGATACAGACTGTAACGAATCCTATATTTGGCAGTGGCTTCAGGGGAGATTTGGGAAGGACAGGCCCTTGCTCTTTTTCATCAACCTCTAAAGGTTAGGGTTTGAGGCAAGAAGGCCATTCAAGGAAGAAGAAGTGTACTTAGATGATAAACACAAAAGTTCAGCACTATCACATATTCAAACTATTGCAAATTTATGCATGTGGCCAAAGTTTTCCACACTCAGCTTGGCAAAGGTTTTTAAAACTTGGTATGAGTGACTGCTACTGAGAAGCTGAGCTCTCTCATGTTCCCTAATGAGAATGCAAATCAATAGAGTATTCTGGAGAGCAATATTAAAGCCCTCCCCCAAATAAAGACTGTGAAACCCATTTATTCCAGTTTCTACTGATTGTTCCAATAGGAAATAATTCACAAATTAAATCAGAGTCACTGGGCAGGGGGCTTAGGCAGCAGTATGTTTAAAAGCTCCCTAGGTAATTCTGAAATAGCCAGGTTTTACAAGCACAGGTTTACGCAGACAGTCAACAGCAGGGAAAGAGGTTAATTAAATATTGTTAAGTAATTAAAAGCAAACCATACCTCACTATTTCTGAACATTCAGAAATGCACACCCATACACATATCTAAGACTGAGTCAACAGTCAGTGTCAATAACAGTTATTTCTAGGTCATATGGTTTGGATCCGTGTCTCTGCCCAAATCTGAAGTGGAATGGTAACCCCCAGTGTTGGAGGAGGGGCCTGGAGGAAGGTGATGGGATCATGGGGCAGAATTCTCATGAATGGTTTAGCACCATCCTCTCTTAGTACTGTATAGTCAGTGAGTTCCCATAAGATCTGGTGTTTAAAAGTGCGTAGCGCCTCCCTCCTCTCTCTTGTTCATGATCCAGCCATGTAAGATGGGCCTGCTAACCCTTCACCTCCTGCCATGATTGTAAGTTTCCTGAGGCCTGCTCAGAAACCCAGCGGAAGCTGGCATCATGCTTCCTGCACAGCCTGCAGTACTGAACCTCACTTAAACCTCTTTTCTTTATCAATTACCCAGTTGTCAGATATTTCTTTATAGCAGTGAAAAAACGAATACACTAGATAATGAGATTACAGATGAGAGATTTTGCATGTGATTTGTATTACGATTCTTTTAGTTAATTTGCATTTTCCCAATACTCTATAATGAGCTTACATTGCTTTCACACTGCTAAAATTATTTTTACAAGACTAGTATTAAAACTATTATTTCATAGTAATAGTTCACAGGGCGTTAAGCTTTAAGAACCTCAGAATCACCTAAAATGTGTTTTAAAAAGGTGCAGATTTTAGCCAGGTGCAGTGGCTCATGCCCGTAATCCCAGCACTTTGCAAGGCTAAGGCAGGTGGATTGCTTGAGGTCAGGAGTTTGAGACCAGCCTGGCCAACATAGTGAAACCCCTTCTCTACTAAAAATACAAAAAAATTAGCCCAGCGTGGTGGCAAGTGCCTGTAATCCCACCTACTTGGGAGGCTCAGGCAGGACAATTGCTTGAACCCAGGAGGTGGAGGTAGCAGTGAGCTGAGACTACCCCAGTGCACTCCAGCCTGGGTGACAGAGCAAGACTCTGTCTCAAACAAAAGAAAAGGAAAGAAAAGAAAACAAATGCAGATTTTTTGGTTTCACCCCATACTAACACACTTGAATCTTTTGGAATGGGCAAGATTCAAAAATACTTATTTTCAGAAAAATCCTCATATGATTAAAGTGTAGAAGATAATTTGAGAACATTATGGTCTGTAATGTGAACTTTATATTTATTAGAGTCTCTGTTATAAAAGAAGCTAAACCTTATTAACTGATCTCCTTTATAATAAAATCCAGTGAGTTTCAAGCTTTTTGATCTTGACAACCCTTACGTTCTTAAAATTAGTGAAGACCCTAGAGAGCTATTGTGTATATATGTATACACATATAAAATATATACATATTAATGAGAAATTAAGATAAATTATTTAAATATTAATTAATTTGCTTCACAATAATGAACTCATCACATTAACAGAAGTAATATTTTATTTAAAAAATTCTTAAAACAAAACATTCCAATTAGTAAGAAGAGTAACATTGTTTGACGCTTTTTCAAATCTCTTTCAAATCAACCTTAACAGAAGGCAATTGTAGTGTGACAATTATTTCTGATTTTATTTCCTTGCAGTGTGTTGTTTTAGTTGAAACATGAGAAAAATCTGGACTCACACAGATACAAGTTGGATATAGTTGGCAAAGGAAAGACTATTTTAGCCTTTTTAGCTAATTTTGAATATTCTTCTTTGATATTACAATGAAAGCCAGCACAATTTTTTAAGATTAGTTGCAATGTGTAATCTGAAACCTATAAACGAACCTTTCCTACGTGGTTGCATTAAAACCACTGGTTTGTCTATTTAGTGGAATTTTTACCCAAGCCTGATTTTGTAACATAATACATTGGTCATCTGGAAAATACTGGTTCACTGAATTTTACCAATTTTCTAAGTAGTGACACATTTCATTATATGATATCAAAATGTCCGCTTTGTTAAATGCCTAACCGGTTTAACAAAAAACGAGTTTTATATCAAGTATTTGTTGATCTAATAGTGGTAGGTGCAAATTTACCAAAATTCTAATTTTTACATGAAAGCTCAATGTTTTTCTTTGGCAACAAATAATGTCAGTTTTCCTTTGATTATAGATTTACTTTGCTAATTTTTGAAAAAAAGACCTAATATTCATATCTGAATAACTTTTCTGTCAGTTATTATTTTAGGTCAAAATGGTATTTCATGAAAAGAAAATAGCAACTTCAGTCAACATCCCAAACAATGCCAGAAGTCCTTTTCCTGAAGACAGCCATTGTGCTCTGGTATGTTGCAGAAGTATTTTATGCATACTCTCTATTTTGTGACACAGATTATTAAGAGAAACTTACTTGAGGGTCAAGATTCAATAAAAGCAGTCTTTATCACTGCTTTATCAAGGATATTCTCAAGCTCTTAAGAGTGTATAGCAGTAAAGACTATAGTGACCACTAGCATATTTTGGGACCATTCATTTGATTCACATTAAGGTACTAGCAATTTAATCTACCATAACTTTTGTACTGTCATTGAAGTGTCATAAAGATAAAAAAAAAGGTAGACAATACGTTATTACTATTATAAAAACTAGTTTAACCCTAAACTCCCTTGAAAGAGTCTCAGGGACACATTGGACTCTTCTTTGGAAGACTACACTCCCCAAATCCCAGCCCTGATCCATACAGTAAGATTCATAGACAAAGGGTTTCCTTCCTTCTATTACAATAATGCCAATTGTCCCAATATAATGAAAACTCATCGCTAATATGCTCCAAACCTTTGGCTCCCAACAGTTCAGTTCTGTGTTTACCCAGTGTCCTCTAAAGAAATTCCCAAAGTTACATCTGCATGATATATGTATTGCAATGATTTTATAAATTCATGAAATAATATGTAAGCCAGCGAAATATGAGTGCAAAATAATCTAAAAAGGAAATGATATTGGAATCGAAGCTCCACAAAAAGAGATACTTTTACTTTTTAATTTACTATTGTACCCTCATATCTTGAATAGTGCCTGGCATATAGTAGACACTTAGTAAATGTGCATTGATTAATTGATTTTGTGGTTTCTATGAAAATTGACTCAGATGTCTTGAATGACTCTATAATTTTTAAAAGTCAAATTATGTGCTAGGAAAGCAAAAGTAAAAGATAAGGAAAGAATTGATAAGAATCAAGGAATCAGCGTTCCCAATCCTTTAGGTTCCCTCTCCACTTTAAAGAAACAGAAACTAGAAAACATAAAGATGCTCTGTGGCTGTGGTACACATACAGAAATTAAAAACTTACTCTAATTGACTAAAAACTCGAAGAAAATGCTACACAAAGTCTTTTTTTTTGTCTTTTTTTTTTCTTCTTATTGACATTTTATGACCTTCGTTCGAAAATGCTTACCAGATACTGCCTGGATTTCTACAAGCCTTTAAATTCACTCCCAAGAGCAATTTGACGCTAACTACATTTTACCTTTCTGATGCATCACCACCATCTAGTGTCTGGAGGTGGTAACTGCAGACTTTAATTGACAAACTGGGTTTTAACTTCAGAAGACAGGAAGTGAGAAAAATGGAGGGAGGGAGAGGGAAAGAGAAGAGAGAAGGAAAGAGAAGAGAGTGAGAGAAGGAAGAGGAGAAAGAGAAAGAGGAAAAGAGACAGAATGAAAAGAGAAAGAAGGAAAGAATGAAAGAAAGAAAGAGAAAGGAAAGGAAAGAAAGAAAAGAAAAAGAAAGAAAGAAGAAAAGGAAAATGAAAAAGACAAGACAGAGAAAAAGACAAAGAGAGAAAGAAAAGACAGAAAAAGAAAGAAAGAAAGAGGGAAAGAGAGAAAGAAAGAAAGAAGGAAAGAAAGAAAGAGAAAGAAAGAAAGAAAGAAAGAAAGAAAGTAAGTAAGTAAGTGAGGGAGGGAGGGAGGGAAGAAACTCTCTCTACCAAGAACAGCTTCATGGGCTGTGACCAACATAGTTGCAGAAGACCCCACGCTCAGAAGGGCCTTGAACTTGGTTTAACACTCCAATGTTTCCATTTTAAAATTCTTAATCACTTTGTCTTTGAACTTTTGTTTCCAAGGTAAAGTCTGATGAGACAATGGACATTTACATGAGCAGATGAGCTTCATACAGTAGGTATCACTGCTGTTTCTTGCCTTCGCGTTTAAGTTTAGTGTTCGCAATGTCCCTGCAGCACAGAATTGCAGTGAGCTCACGATGCTTGAGAGTTGAGAAACACTTGATGTAGATGCGTACGAGGTGAATGTGTTACGTCTGTGACTAAGACACTACACTTTGTGTTGGAATTAAAACTTACCCCAAATGGAGAAAACTTGTTTCTAAGAAACATAAATGACCAAGAAAGACTGTCACATCCATTCTTACACATGTTTTCCTTGTGTTAACCAATCACATGTGTTCAAAATAGTGACAAAGAAGAACATGGAAAGAGTCCCTTCTTATTTAGGTCCTTCCTGAAATTGAAGGTAGCAGAGAGTGTTGGTGGAATGCACATGTGTTAACAAGTGAAATAAAGAATAGAGATAACTTTGCACAGCGGTAAGAATGCTCTTGTAAGAATGAAATGCGTATATATGTATGAGCTACAAAATATACATTGTATATTTCAGTGATCTTGCATATTAATACATGATCTTATTATGCCTCTAAAACTGGCATTGCATGACATAAAGAACAGTAAAATTCATGTTAATAATTAAAATACTAATTTTTCTTTACATGGAGTGATATTAAATAGCAAATATCATTTTGACTACCTGAGAGAGATTCCGTAAAAGATAGAAACATGATTTCCATTTTAGAAACTTTAATAGCAATTTTCTCCTGCTTGAACAAGTGGTCTTGCATTTTCATTTTGCACTGGGACCCACAAATTATGTTCTTTAGACTTGCACGTGGTGTTGCTAAGCTTCCCAACATCGAGATATTCCTTAGGGGGTGTCAGGCTATCAAACTGTCAGTTCTTCTTTGGTGAAAGCTGTAATAATCTGTTCCCTTAATTAAAGAGTTCCTTTCTTCTCCAAATAGGATGGAAAATACATGTAATACTAACTGAAATGGATATTTTTGTTAATTTATACCAGTGAATCTTTGCTTCCACTATAAAGGCACATTAAGAAGAAAACAGAGCCAACACCTGAATTCCACCATTGGAAAAAAAAAATAGTCTGTAGTAACATTTAAAAAATGATGAAGACAAAATTTTCTTTTAGCAAAATAGTATTTCCTATCACTAGTGACGACATTAAGTCATTCCCAGTGCCTGAGCTACCATTTGGTAAAATTAGTAAAGTTTTAAAGAGGTGTTGATATAGGCCACCAGAAGACCGTAGAAGGGCTTTCCTATTATTCAAATTGGAAACCAAGGCTCTGAGAATCTGAGGGTCATTTAGTGATTACCTACTTCTGAGCATACTGCACCACTTCCTCCATTTGAGGGACCTGTACTTTGACCAGGAGTACAACACAGACACCTTCCCAGTGGCACAACAGATCACTAAGTGTGGCTGTTGTGCAAATGAGAAAAATGGAGAACATCATCTATGCGTTTAGTCACCATATGCATGGTATAATGCACGAATTATTTGACAAAATAGAATAAATTTAAGTATAACAAGAAATGAGACCAAATTTCCAAGTCGCCTTTTATGAAACAAAAATTGCATCTTTAAGATATATATATATATATATATATATATATATATATATATATATATATACACACACAATTGCAAAACATACATTTTATATATATATATGTGTTGCAAAAAAATTTTCTCAAACCCACTTTTGTGTTTGGACTCAATATAAAATGACTGCTGCAGAAATGATTATAATTAGAAGAAATAATGTAGTGATTATAATAAGGTTCAAAGAGGCCTTTCTCACATCTTTGTGTACTGACGAGAGCAGGAGGTGTATGAGCAGAGAGAAACCTGCTTTCCCCTCTAGACACAGTCACTAGTCACTATAGCTGGGGACAGCAACAGCTCATCTTACAGAGAAGCCACTAGAGGAAATTCAAAATGAATACATGTTCTGCTTTTGAGAAGCAGCTCGTTCAGCTGCTTACAGAGAAGATATGCTTCAGAGTTGACTTATAACTTGTGGCCTTCCAAGTTGAAGGGAAATAAGAAGGAAATCAATCAATTTTTGAAATCATATTGATTACTGGGATGATTGAGAAGCTACAAGGTGAGTTCATCGCTCGGTTATGTATCTCACATATTTAAAACATCAGAAACACTGACTTGCCTTAGGTCACACAGCCAGGAATGGGCAGTGCAGGGCTTCCAGCCTGGCCTTATACCAAACTCTTAATCCTTTCACTGCTACATGCAGCTGTCCGTACTGATAGCCTTGCAGCTCTGCCCTGAGGATATGAGCCTCATCTGCAAGCATTTATGTAACTAGCTAAGAAATACAGAGTTTTCTTTTTATTAAGATGATTTTTAATTACTATTATTATTACTATTTTTAGAGAAAGGATTTCTCTCTGTCACCCAGGCTGGAGTGTAGTGACACTATCATAGCTCACTGCAGCCTCGAACACCCAGGCTCAAGCAATCCTCCCACCTCAGCCTCCCAAGCAGCTGGGACTACAGGTACTCACCACTATGATCAGCTATAAATAGTGAGGTTTCTAGCGCTTTAATTTCAAATAAGTGCCTGAGTCACCTAGAAAGAAGATAAAATGAACACTGACAGTCCTATCAGGCTCTAACACTTTCACTGCTTTAAGGATCGAGGTCAGGGAAATCAACTGCTTTTAAAAAATATTTTGTTCTGTTTTCTGTTGAGTAAATTCTAAGAACAGATATTATTATTTTCTTGGACTTTAAACTGCTGCTGCTGATAAAAGCAGAGGGAGCTGCTTCAGAATGGAGTTACTGCCTATCTCAGTGACATGGCTAAGTAGATGAAATTATCCACATCATGTGAAGACTGGGTTGTAAATGCTGGAAATACACTAATATACTCAGGGGGGCAATTAGTACCTTTCATGGGGAGGGCTGTGATCTCTCTTTAGATGAAAATTTAATGTGTCTTGCATGGAAGAAATGACCAGAACTTTGTTCGGTACAAAATAATTCCAAAGACATTCAAGAAATTACTAACTATTCATAGAGAGCCTCTGACAAGTTTAAAACAGAACGCGACCTTCTCTTTGACCTCACCAATTCCCACATCAATATATTTCCTGGTAGCATAAAGTTACTAAATTCCTATTTCAACATATTCTTGAACTAGATGCTCATTTAGAAGGGTAAGAACAAAACATCATTGGATTTTCAGCAATAGTCACCATGTATTCTACGTATTCTACTGTGCTCGAAAACATCCTCCACTTTCATGACACTTCCCACCACTTACATGTTTCCTATTTTTTTTCTATTTCATCCTGTGTTCATTTGTATAAACAAATCTGTGTCAACCAGTCTTACAATTTGTAACTTACTCAAAAACTTGCAACTAGAAGGTAAAATCACTAAATAGACATATTAATTTTCTTTTCCATAACCTAGACTTTTATGTCCTTGAAAATCTGTCAGTAATTTAGTCAACTACGATGAAAGGCTTACTCAAATATCTATTAGCATATAACATACAATCTTCCATCTTGAGATAACTTCTTTGGAATAAATTAATGTTCCTGTCCCACTAGAATCTTGTGTCCCGGTGACTTGTATTCACAAACAAATCAATTAATAATAAGATTTAGATTGTTTGTTTGTAGGGTTTTTAAATTAAAGTCAGAGAAATAATAACAGGTAACATGTACAAAAAGAGAAATTCTAATCTAATTAAGATGAAGACTTCTTAAACTGTAGAATCTAATTAAATTAAAAGACCATTCTATTTTTAGCTTTTTGAGGATCTCCATACACATTTTTCATAACCGGTAACTAATTTGTATTCCCACCAACAGTATATAAGAGCTCCGGTTCCTCCTTATCCTCATCAGTGTTTGTTATTTTTGGTCTTTTTCATATAGCTATTCTAACTTGGTTGAGATAGTATCCTATATTGGTTTTGATTTTCATTTCCTTGATGGTTGGTGATGTTGAGCATTTTTTCTATGTCTTTTTTGAGAAAGGTCTATTCAGATCATTTGCTCAATTTTTAGCCCATTATTATTATTTTGCTGTTGAATTGAGTTCCCTGCATATTCTGGATTAATCCTTGTCAGATTTGTGTGTGTACACACATATATATATTCATAATATATAATTATAAAAAATGTGCAATAGTTCCTGCTACCTATAAGATAAAACTCAGTGTCCTTAGCATCACATTCAAGGTCCACCGTCACGTGACTCCCAGCTACACCACCACCACTTCACCTCCTGCATCTCCTCTCAACGTCCTGCGTCCAGGTCTCTTCTGCCCCTTACTCTCATATTCCAGTTAACTCTGCTGGAACTCTCAGACCATATCCCTTACTTCATAATTGTCCTGGGTTCTTTTTTCCACTGCATTTCTTCTTCCTAAAAAGCTCCCTACCTCACCTTCCTATGATGTCTACCATAGAAAGCCAAAGATTTCTCCTCTTTAAATTACTTCTTGCTCTGCCCTCAGGAACACAATCAACCCCTGTGAATGAATCAATCTCTGTATTATTCTGGTGAAAAAGAAAGTTGGGTGAGGTCACCTGAAGGAAGCGTGGGGTATCTGTTTGTTCTTGGAATGCAGGTATAAGCATGACACGTTTTGCATTCTCCACGAATTAACCCATGAACCCAGCAAGCAATGATGTTCATGGGATGTGCGCTCACTTCAATTACATAAGGGGCCAGGCCAACACATCTGCATAAAGACAATACTTAATCTAAGAAGTTAAAAACGGAAACAGGATAAACTTCTAAAAGGAGTTGGGAGGCTTAGAACCTTAGCCTCTTTCTTTTTTACAAGCACTTAGGGAACTAGCTAATTAAAGGAATTCTCTGGTGAATCTCTTATAAAGGAAAGAATTCTCTGGCAAAGCAAATAATCAACCCTTAATTTATAAAGTACTTATGGAGTTAGGTGCTTACAGTATCACCAAACGACACCTTGGGGACCCCTTGTCATTAATTTGCCTCTATAAGGACCTAACTCTTAAGGAATTGCTAAGTTTCTGGAGAAAATTGGGTTGTGAATGATTTAAGGTGTTAGTTTTGATTTTTTTATAGAAGAATGTTAATAAGGAGGTATTTGTTCTCCTATTTAGGCCTTACAATGTAAAGCAGAAAAAGAATCTTCACAGGTAACATATTAATATAAAATTTCCTCTGTTTTAGGCAAAAAGCAATAACAAGTTTCATATGATTAAAAGAAAGGATCTATTTATGTATCTCTGATTTTGGAGCAAAATTTTCAAACTTGTTCTTCCGTCTAAGTGATAATTTTTTAAAAGTTTATTGTGAAGTTTGCTGTATTTAAAATAAACCTTCTCTCGGGGCCAATCAATGGAATTGCTACTACAGATTAAAAGGTAAAACACTGGTTTTATTCTGAGTATTTCATTATCAACATTCAGCATCTTTTGAGACTCTGAGAACAAGCACAGTCATTATTCTGGTACTATGACTATAAGAAAGAAAAAAACACACATCTATGTTTGTTTATATGGTGCTCTTCTTTACAAAATATCAACTCCAAAATGTGCATATATATGAGACTTGGGCTGGGCACAGTGACTCATGCCTGTAATGCCAGCACTTTCGGAGGCCAAGATGGGTAGATCGCTTGAGTCCAGGAGTTTGAGACCAGCCTGGGCAACACAGCAAAACACCGCCTCTACAAAAATACAAAGAATGAGCTGGGCATGATGGTGCATGCTTCTAGTCTCAGCAACTCTAGAGGTTGAGGTGGGAGGATAGCCTGAGACCCAGAAGACTTGATCTCACCATTTTACACCAGCCTGGAAAACACACGGAGACCCTGTCTCAAAAAGAAACTAAAAGAAAAAAAAGGTTTGGAGTTTGTTTGTCTCAAAAAGAAACTAAAAGAAAAAAAAGTTTATCTGCTTGCAGTGGGATAAAGCAGGAAAGCCTCAGAATGTTGCCTTAAAGTTGGAGTTTCTGAGAGAGCACGCTGTTTTGTTTGTTTGTTTTGTTTTACCTAGGATACATGTATATGTAGAGTGGTCTGATGGAAGTAACTGAAATTCTGTAGGAGCTAAAATTTCACCAAGGTGTTTTTTGTTCTCAATCCTGTTTCCCAATGTCTAGGTCATTCACTATCCTAGACAAATGCAATTTGTTTTTCTGTCTCCACTTTCTCCTTCGCTCATTCTTTTCTTTCTTTCTTTCTTGGAAAAACAAGAAATATGTTTCTAAAGCTTGTTTATGAATTATAAGTTTAAAAATAATGTTCAAACGCCTGAAGTAGGATAATGGTCTCGATCTCCATCCATATCCCTGCAAAGACATGATCATGTCCTTTTTAAGAGCTGCATAGTATTCCATGGTGTATATGTACTATATTTTCTTTATCCAATCTATCACTGTTGGGCATTTAGGTTGATTTCATGTATTTGCTATAGGGAATAGTACTGCAATAAAGATACACATGCATGTATCTTTATAATAGAATGATTTATATTCCTTTGGGCATACGTCCAGTAGCAGGATTGCTGGGTAGAATAGTATTTCTGTCTTTAGGTCTTTGAGGAATTGCCACTCTTTCCTCCACAATGGTTAAACTAATTTACACTCCCACCAAGTGCGTATAAGCACTCTTTTTCTCCACAACCTCGCCAGCATCTGTTATTTTTTGACTGTTTAATATGAGCCATTATCCTTAGCAAACTAACACAGGAACAGAAAACCAAATACCACATGTTCTCACGTATAAGTGGGAGCTAAGTGATGTGAACACATGGACCGAGGGGAACAACACACACTGGGGCCTCTTGGAGGGTGGAGAGTGGGAGAAGGGAGAGGATCAGGAAAAATAACTAATAGATACCAGGCTTAGTACCTGGGTGATGAAATAATCTGTACAACAAACCCCCATGACACAGGTTTACCTAAGTAACAAACTGTACTTGTGCCCCTGAACTTAAAAGTTAAAAAAAAAAAAAAGCCTGAAGAAGGCATACTGTGAAAAATTTTGTGGGAAAAACATTCTATATAACATGCAAAATTCCACATGATTGAGTCCCTGCCTACCTCCTTAGAATTAGCTCTATGTTTCAGACATACTTAGCTAATTTGAGCTTCAAGACTGTGTCAAACTCTTTCACACTTGTAAGCCTCTGCGTTCGCTGTTCTCATGACCTGGAAATCAGACATTCATTGAATATTTTTACTGAAATCAACTCTGTGTGAAGATGCTGAAAGGTCAGTCACGAGGATACAGTGGTAAAAAACACAGCCACAGATGTTGCCCTCATGCAACTCGGTGACCTCCCTCCTTGGTAAGCTCTGCTCAAATCTTGCATCTTCTGTGTTCCTTTCACTGTGGCATGTAGCCCAACCATTCTAAGCAACACTTTGCAAATCTTTCTTTAAGCCACCAGTACAGCCACCATCTATTTCTGCTACATTGCTGACCAAAATTCTGTTAATATAATTATATACCTACCCAATTCCATTATGAAACCATGAACTTCTGTATCTGTTTCATTTTTGTGTTATGAATAGAGAGCTTAGCACTGAATGAGTGGATAGATGAAACAATGAAAAGAATGACTGAATCGAGTAATTGATTTTCTGGAGAGAGTAATTGAATTTCAATCTGAAATTTGTTTTACATGTACCAGTTTAAGCCATTACAAAGCACATATTGATGGGAAAGAGACAATTAGAACAGAATTTTAAAATGTGAAGTTACAGAACTATAATAAATGTAATCTGCTATATGAACATATCTTCTTATAATAAGCCTCAAAATTCTTCCGTGTTTCTACTTGAAATATAAGGACAGAAATACAAACTACCATCAGAGAGTACTGCAAACACCTCTACGCAAATAAATTTGAAAATCTAGAAGAAATGGATAAATTCCTGGACACACACACCCTCCCAAGGCTAAACCAGGAAGAAGCTGGATCCCAGAATAGACCAATAACAAGTTCTGGAATCGAGGCAGTAATTAATAACTTACCAACCAAAAAAAGCCCAGGACCAGACAGATTCACAGCCGAACTCTACCAGAGGTACAAAGAGGAGCTGGTACCATTCCTTCTGAAACTATTCCAAACAACAGAAAAAAGGAACTCCTCCCTAACTCAATTTATGAGGCCAGCATCATTCTGATACCCAAACCTGGCAGAGACACAACAAAAAAAGAAAATTTCAGGCCAATATCCCTGATGAACATCAATGTGAAAATCATCAATAAAACACTGGCAAACTGAATCCAGTGGCACATCAAATAGCGTATCCACCACGATTAAGTTGACGTCATCCCTGGGATGCAAGCCTGGTTTAACATATGCAAATCAATAAACGTAATCCATCACATATACAGAATCAATCACAAAAAACACATGATTATCTCAATAGATGCAGAAAAATCCTTCGATGAAATTCAACACCGCTTCATGCTAAAAACTCACAATAAACTAGGCATTGATGGAACATATCTCAAAATAATAAGAGCTATTTATGACAAACCCACAGCCAATATCATACTGAATGGGCAAAAGCTGGAAGCATTCCCTTTGAAAACTGACACAAGACAAGGACGCCCTCTCTCACCACTCCTATTCAACATAGTGTTGGAAATTCTGTCCAGGGCAATCAGGCAAGAGAAAGAAATGAAGTGTATTCAAATAGGAAGAGAGGAAGTCAAATTGTCTCTGTTTGCAGATGACATAAATGTATATTTAGAAAACCCCATTGTCTCAGCCCAAAATCTCTTTAAGGTGATAAGCAACTTCAGCAAACTCTCAGGATACACAATCAATGTGAAAAATCACAAGAATTCCTATACACCAACAATAGACAAACAGAGAGCTAAATCATGAGTGAACTCCCATTCACACTTGCTACAAAGGAAATAGGAATCCAACTTACAAGGAATGTGAAGGACCTCTTCAAGGAGAACTACAAAACACTGCTCAAGTAACTAAGAGAGGACACAAACAAATGGAAAAATATTCCATGCTCATGGATAGGAAGAATCAATATTGTTAAAATGGCCATACTGCCAAAGTAATTTATAGATTCACTGCTATCCCCATCAAGCTACCATTGACTTTCTTCACAGAACTAGAAAAAAATACTTTAAATTTCATATGGAACCAAAAAAGAGCCAGTATAGCCAAAACAATCCTAAGGAAAAAAGCTGGAGGCATCACACTACCTGACTTCAAACTATGATACAAGGCTATGGTAACCAAAACAGTACGGTACTAGTACCAGAACAGATAGATAGACCAATGGAACAGAAAAGAGGCCTCAGAAATACCACACATCTACAACCATTTGAGATGGAGACCATCCTGGCCAACGCGGTGAAACCCCATCCCTACTACAACAATCTGAATTCCCAGTTTAATAAATGTGGTTGGGAAAACTGGCTAGCCATATGCAGAAAACTAAAACTGGACCCTTTCTTACACCTTATATAAAAATTAACTCAAGTAAGATTAAGGACTTAAACATAAGACTTAAAACCATAAAAACCCTAGAAGAAAACCAAGGCAATACCATTCAGGACATAGGCATGAGCAAAGACTTCATGACTGAAACACCAAAAGCAATGGCAAGAAAAGCCAAAATTGACAAATAGGATCTAATTAAACTAAAGAGCTTCTGCACAGCAAAAGAAACTATCATCAGAGTGAACAGGCAACCTACAGAATGGGAGAAAATTTCTGTAATCTATCCATCTGACAAAGGGCTAATATACAGAATCTTAAACAAGTTTACAAAAAAAAAAAGACAACCCTGTCAAAAAGTGGGTGAAGAATACGAACAGACACTTCACAAAAGAAGACATTTATGCAGCAAACAAACATACGAAACAAGGCTCATCATCACTGGTCGTTAGAGAAATTCAAATCAAAACCACAAGGAGATACCATCTCACGCCAGTCAGAATGGCCATCATTAAAAAGTCAGGAAACAGGCCGGGTGCAGTGGCTCACACCTGTAATATCACCACTTTGGGAGGCCGAGGCAGGAGGATCACCTGAAGTGAGGAATTTGAGACCAGCCTGACCAACACAGAGAAACCTCATGTCTACTAAAAATACAAAATTAGGTGGGTGTGGTGGCGCATGCCTGTAATCCCAGCTACTTGGGAGGCTGAGGCAGAAGAATCACTTGAACCCAAGAGGCAGAGGTTAACGTGAGCCAAGATCACATCATTGCACTCCAGCCTGGGCAACAAGAGTGAAACGCTCTCTCAACAACAAAAAAAAAAGTCAGGAAACAACAGATGCTGGAGAGAATGTGGAGAAACAGGAACCCTTTTACACTGTTGGTGGGAGTGTAAATTATTTCAACCACTGTGAAAGACAGTTTTGTGACTCCTCAAGGATCTAGAACAAGAAATACCATTTGACCCAGTAATCCCATTACTGCGTATATACCCAAAGGATCATAAATCATTCTACTATAAAGATACATGCACACATATGTTTACTGCAGCACTATTCACAATACCAAAGACTTGGAACTAACCCAAATGACCATCAATGATAGACTGAATAAAGAAAATGTGGGCTGGGTGCAGTGGCTCACACCTGTAATCCCAGCATTTTGGGAGGCTAAGATGGGAGGTTCATGATGTCAAGAAATCGAGACCATCCTGGCCAACACAGTGAAACCCCATCTCTACTAAAAACACAAAAATTAGCTGGGCATGGTGGCATGCACCTGTAGTCCCAGCTACTTGGGAGGCTGAGGCAGGAGAATTACTGGAACTCAGGAGGCAGGGGTTGCAGTGAGCTGAGTTTGCACCACTGCACACCAGCCTGGCAAGAGAGTGAGACTCTGTCTCAAAAATGTATAATATGTGTGTGTATATATATATATATGTATGTATATATATGCATGTATGTATATATATGTATGTATATATGTATGTATATATGTATGTATGTATGTATATATATGTGTGTGTATATATATGTATATGTGTATATATATATATAGGACATATACACCATGGAACACTATGCAGCCATAAAAAAGGATGAGTTCATGTCCTTTGCAGGAACATGGAAGAAGCTGGAAACCATCATTCTCAGCAAACTAACACAGGAACAGAAAACCAAACATTCCATGTTCTCACTAATAAGTGGGAGTTGAACAATGAGAACATATGGAAACAGGGAGGGGAACATCACACACCAGGGCCTGACAGGGCATGAGGGGCTAGGGGAGGGATAGCATTAGGAGAAATACCTAATGTAGATGACAGGTTGATGGGTTCAGCAAACCACCATGGCACATGTATACCTATGTAACAAACCTGCACATTCTGCACATATATCCCAGAACTTAAACTATAATTTTTTAAAAAAACATAGAAATATAAGCTATCTGTTACTTTTCTATTGTTCTCACAAATAATCAAAATTATTAGTGTTTTTGCTGTATATTATTTTTATTATAAAAGTGGTTACTATTAATATCTAAAGTGTTTAGACTCTTCTGAGAAAATATGCTGTTTAATTAGAAATACACAATGGTAATAGAATCAGCATCTTTTATGAGAGCTGAAAAGTTGGCCTTGGGGGAATTAGAAGTCTTCTAATTCTTTATGAGCAGAATGCAATTTAAAAATTGATAGGAAGTTCTTTAAACCACACAGTATGTCTATAAATACATTAGATTTCAACATAACCTAAAGGCACCATAGATCCTGCTGGGTTTGTATCATCAACTAAACTAACTTGTCTTTCTTGGAATATTATTTTAAATGACAAAATAGTGATAACTATGAGATACTCTATTGAGTTAATTGTAAGCTCCTTGAATATGGCTATACTATTTTATTCATCTTTTTATCTACCCCACTTCCCAGCACACTGACTTAACCATAGTAGATTCTCAAAAAATATGATGCAATTTGATTTGCATTTTCTCCTGCTTCCAAAAGTAATCTGGACAAGTTTCACTGACTTGAGAGTTAGAAATAAAGCAGAAGTCAAACGTTTAACTTGATAGGCGTCTTTAGATATTTGACATAATCAATTCATGATGTGTGGTTCCAGAGAGTCAAGCAGATCCAAGATGTAAGTTAGAAGGAGTCAGGTTTTGGTTAAATGTAATAGAAACGATTTTAATAACAGCAGTTACTTAATAATGGAGTGAAGTGTATAAAAGTGAGATGCTTCCCAGTGGTGAACATAGTTATCAGACAGAATCCATGGAGGTAGTAGAGGAATAGCTTTGGCTGGAAGACTGAGATAAATCACCTGAAATCCTGTGAAACTATAACTACACTTTAAAGGCTACAAAAGAGGAAAGAGCATAGATGAGTTATTCATTGCATGTGTTGGTATGCCCAATTGCCTTAACAGAGTAATATCATATTTTTTTTATATTTTATAATACATGCCTTCAATTCTATGGAATTATAGATTGCCTCTGGATAACTTTGGAGACTCTAGAGTCGTATAGTACTAGTCATCAGTTACCCCAGAAGTGATCATTACTTTATTTGTAAGGTGGGGTTGATGGAAACTTGAAAGTGTTCTTTAAGTTGGAACACACAGATGTCAATCACTTGAGATCAAGAGTAGCCGTTACATGACTATGCATTTTCAGAGGTAAAGCACTGTTCATGGATGGACTTAACTCATCAGTAGAACAGAGTATCTACAATCAACCAAGGCTTGAGTTCAGTCTCCAGCAAGAATAAAGATGAGAATAGGTCAACTCTCATTGGAAGTCCATGAGTAACCCCAGCTCCTTCCACTGATTTTGGTTGACCTATATTTGGATATTGTTTGAAGAACACCATTTTACTTTTAAAAAACCTTGGCCAGATGTATACCTAATTAGGAATAGGAACCTTTAAAAATGGAAATTAAATTTTAGAAGATTGATTTCTCTAAATTATTTGGCAACTGTCTTTCTCTTAGGCTTCTTCTTGGAAGTGGCAGAGATTTATAACTCAAGGAAAGAAAGATATGAAATGCAAATATTTGTCCTTGAAGTCTCTGTAGTCATAGGATTAGCAACATTATGGGGCAAAAATAATTACGATGACTGAAAACCATGGAAAACTGTGATTTACTTTTAGAACTTTGAAGATAAAGACTGAAGTGTGGTGAGTCCCACAAACTTATACTTTAATTGAAACTGCAGTTCAGTAGTTTGAGAACTTCTAACTTCATATTCTTCTAGTTATAAAGAAAAGTATGCTCTGTAATAGGACTACTTAGTTCTCTCTGGAAATATTCATGCATTTCAATATTTTTAAAGATAATACTCTTGCTATAGTCAATCTGACTGATCTGCTGTACTGTTTAATTAGACATAATGATTTACCTTGGGCTTCTTGAAAGTTGACTGTCCAACACTTCTGTACTAAATAGGACTTGGCTCATAATTTTTCCCTGGTGTTTTCTACAAGCACAACTTTGTAGATTATTTTTAATTTTAACTTTATCAAGAAAATATGTTACTAAATAAAAATCCTTGGGGATGGGAGATGAAATTATTCTTTATCCACCAACTGACTTTTATCAAACCCACATAAATATTGGCTTAAATTTAACTTAATATGATTAAAATGATTTATATAGATAAGTAAAATATTAATATGTAGATTCTCTTCTAATATAAAATTCAAATTCAACTTCTACATTGCCTTTCTTAAATTCAGTGACAGCAGTGTATGGCATAATAAATTCCAGTGTGGATCAAGTGATGTGCTATCTTCAGTGAATGCACAGGTGCCTGAGTATTCCTCTCTAAAAGGGGAATCAGGTTGCTCTAAAAGGAAAAAAGACACATGTCTTGTGTTAGATGAAATTATAACATGGCTCCCAAGATTTTCACTTTCTGAGGTATATTCACCTTCCTCCAGTTATCCATTCAAGCAGTATCCCACAATGCTCCTGTAAAGACATTTTTCATAAGTAACTAAAGTCCCAAGTCAATTTATTTTGAGAAAAGAAGATAATGCTGACTGAGTCTGACCTAATCAGGTGCATCAGCTCTTAAAAAGGACTCAGATCTTCCTGGAGAAATTTCAAGCATAAAAGGGTATCTTTGTCTGTGTGTATTGCTATAACAAATGGAGACCAGGTTATTTATAAACAATGGAAATTTATTTCTCACAGTTCTGGAGGCTGGGAAATTCAAGCACAAGGTGCCAGCTAGGTAGGTTTTGGTAAAGGCCTCATCTCCACTTCCAAAATGATACCGTGTTGCTACATCATCCAGAGGAGACAACAGATATGTCCTCACATGACAGAAGACACAGAAAGGTCAAGAGGGTACTTCCTTTTGTAAGGAACTTTAGTCCTTTTGTAAGAGCGCTAACCCATTAATGAGGACAAAGTCCATGACTTAATCACCTTCCAAAAGCCACATATCTTAACACTACTGTATTAAGGACTAGGTCTCAACATGAATTTTGGAGGGGACATACATTCAAACCATAGCAGAAGGATTCAATGGGAGGGAGACTATTTATTCACAGCTTTGGATAAGGAAGGGACAAGGTCTGAAAGCAGCGTCAGGGAGCAGATAGAAGTCCCCACCTGAAAACCAGAGAGAACAATACGAAAAGCACGTGTTAAGAGTAGCTGGCAATAAAATACTAAGAAAAGCACTGTACCACTTTGGACTGTGGTTTTCTCATCTGTAAAGTGAAAGGCTAGGACCTGGTTATCTCTGAGATTCCTTCCAGGTCAAGACATTTAAGGTGTAAGTAACTAGTAATAAAGTGAATGAGCTGTGATACGGGGGAAAGAATACAGTAGTAGGGCAAGAAGAAAAAATAATTGGATTAAGTTCCAGCTATGTTATAAATAAGGAGCCTGACCTTGAATAGATGATTTCACATCTGGGCCACAATTTAGTTGGTTGAAAAATGGGGATAACATCACCCTAATCCAAAGTTGTCTCTGAAGACTAAAAGAGTTATTCTGGAGCTTTCAGAATAGCAGAGTAATAAACTCTCTCATTCTCTAAAACAATGGGAAAATCAGCCAAACACCAAACACAAACCATTTGGGAACTCTGGTAATTAACAAAAGCCACAGAACAAATGAAAATATAGTCTATGCAACTATTCCCATCCCCCTGTCTCCCCAGCTCAGTGGTGTGGTAGCCAAAAGCTTGCATCAGTGTAGACAATAGAGAGATCGGACTGCCTAGGGATCTCTTAAAAGCACTATCTCAAGAGCACACTCAATACATTGCCCATACTTTCAGGCCCCTAGCAAATTTAAAAATACATAGAAAGTAAACAACACATTTCTAAATAACCCATGGGTCAAAGAAGAAGACAGGGGGAAATGGAAAATATTTTGAGATAAATGAAAACAACATAGCATTACAAAACTGAAACGATGCAGGTAAAGCTGTGCATAAGAAGACATTCATAGCTGTAAATATCAACTTTGAGAAAGACAAAACACCTCAAGTCAATTACGTTACTTTCATTTTCAGAAACTAGAGGAACAACAGCTAACTAAACCCAAGACAAGTGGAAGGAAGAAAATAGAAGTTTAGACTAGAAATAAATGAAATCAACAACTCTGTGACTATACTAAAAACAACTGAACCGTACACTTTAAACGGGTAAATTTGATGGTGTATGAAATATCTCGCCGTAAAGCTCTAAAACGAAGTAATATTAGTGAGGGTCACTTAAAGTAACTTTTTTAAATGGTACAAGGTGCCAATAAAGTTATTGACACAAATAGTGAGTAACTTTTATTGGCTTTGAACCAACTGGTTGAAACAGAATTAAGAGAGAGGCAAGAGGAAATATCAAGAATTAGGAAGGAGAAATTATATGTAACAAACAGCAAATAAGCAGAGCTACCAGATGACATTCACTAAGTTCTGCTGTTCCTCAGGCCACCTCTCTGTTTAGAGGTCCCCCCGCCCTGCAATGGAGTGTGGACTAAGCAAAGAGCATTGGAGAGGTTCCACTGATGACTCTTAGAGATTAACAGTGGACCTACCACTCTAAGAGCCTTCATTTTTATTTTTTTATTTTGAGACAGAGTCTCACCCTGTCACCAGGCTGGAGCACAGTGGTGCTATCTTGGCTCATTGCAATCTCTGCCTCCCGGGTTCAAGCAATTCCCCTGCCTCAGCCTCCTGAGTAGCTGGGACTACAGGTGCGCACTACCATGCCCAGCTAACTTTTGATATTTTAGTAGAGACAGGGCTTCACCATGTTGGCGTGGAGGGTCTTGATCTCCTGACATCATGATCCGCCAGCCTTAGCCTCTCAAAGTGCTGGGATTACCAAGTGTGAGCCACCACACCAAGCCAGAGCCTTTATTATGTAAGTATCTCTTTGTTTAGGCTAAAGTCTTGGCTACATCATGTCTGACACCATTACGAAGAAAACAAATATTTAAAATAATGTATATTTATATTTTAATGTCTAAAATGTATTATCAAATCTGCTCCATGATCTAAGCACTTATTTATTTTATTGAAAATCCAACTGCTTCTAAATCATGATAATTGCTTTAATTTTATTTCCAGGCAGGCATTTGATTTGTATTCCATCATATGCTACATGTTTTGAATAAATTTATTGCACTTGTCATCTAAGCATAGATATTTCTTCAAAATAATGAATAGTGTAAAGATATTAAAGGCATAAAAAATAATATTTTTCTCTATCATGTTGATTTTCAATAATTCTCCCTTTTACTGTCAAACACAAATGTACATCTTTTCTTTTTAACTTATCCATCCAAGTTTTTAAAAGGCCAAATAAGTTTCACAATGGGAGCTTCCAAAGCATTCATTTTCCTACAAAAACGAATATATTTATTCGTTTTTTTATGGGACAAATGATAAGGAAAAACTGATCACTCTGGTTACTTACAATAGTTCTAATGGATTTTCATGTTCCTTTCTGTTATTACATTTATGCAAAAGGGTTTTTTTTTTCCAATGTAAATGTGAAATTGGGGAACTTTGTTAAATCAGTACTGTTGAGAAGTGGGCTGTACTGAGATGAATATCCTTTTAAACAAATCTCTAAGAAAGCAAAGGTCAGGATTGCCTTTCTTCCCAAGTAAATGACAGGGATGTTCCCTGTCCTAAGTGGAAGATCAGTGTCTCAATTGCAGTTCCCTCTTTATTTGAGGGTAGATGAGAAAGAACTTTAAGCACTTAAGAAGTAGACATGGGTTTACACTTGAAAGCCAAATCAAGGCAGTCTTCTTTTTTTCTTTTTTTCTTTTTTTTTTTTTCCATTTTGGCTTAGTGCTAACACATTTAAAAGACAATTCGACACTTACTATTCAGAATCTTTTCTAAAAGTTTCCTATATTAAGAACCAGCCATGTTTGAAACAAATGCCATCTATAACTTTCCCACATTTTGCAGATATATTATGCAAGTTAAAATATAATTAACAACTGTGAGAAAAAAAAAGATTGGAGTCATTTGGGGAAAAAAAGGAAAGCACATATGTTTCCCTGATCTAGTGGGGGAAATAAGTAGTACTGTGGTTCTGATGTAGCTTGCCCTTGGCCTGTCTTTTCTGATATCTGATTGGCTACAAATGAGATGAGGTGGCCCATATACAATATTGAAGTTGAATGTCGATATCTTCCAAAATGATGCAGCACTGTTAAGGATACTGTTGATTTAACAAACGTATGCATATGGAATGACTTTCAGAAAAGCTATGTCAAGATCTATAAGAGGAACAGAGCAAACGAAGTCTATAATGAGAATGATTCCTGTGGTGTCTAAGAGGCAAGCACTAAATAAAGAATGGCAGAGGCAATGAAACACAAATCACTCCACCTTAAGGAGAAAGTAGCAGTAATGAGAAGAGGAGTGTGATTTCTACTTCAGTAAAAGAGAGCATAGTTTCAAGAAACAGATGGACAGTGAATGTGAATACATTAGTGAAAGCAGTACTGTGGAAGGTTCTTACAGTTTTGTTGTTGTTGTTGTTGTTGTTGTTTTACCTATTCCCTATAAAGGTGGTAGGTTGGATTTTGAATTACTCATACTTGTAATCAAGAAGTTACAGTACTTCATGGCTCAAAGTCCTTTAAAACCTAATTGTAGGCCAGGTGTGGTGGCTCATGCCTGTAATTCCAACACTTTGGGAGGATGAGGTGGGAGGATAGCTTGAGCTCAGGAATTTAAGACCAGCCTGAGTAACACAGTGAGACCCCCATCTCTTAAAAAAAATTTAAAAAGTTAGCTGGCCATGGTGGCACATGCCTGTTTTCTCAGCTACTCAGGAGGCTGAGGAGGGAGGATCTCTTAAGCCTGGGAGATTGAGGCTGCATTCAGCTGTGATTATGCCACCTCACTCCAGCCTGGATGACAGAGTGAGACTCTATGTTAAAAACAAAACAAAACAAACAGACAAATAAAAAAAGACCAGAAAAACAACAAAACAAAAGAAAACTAATCATAGAACTAGAAAACCATGAATAATGGAAATCACTAAAAATATATATAACTAGCCAAGCTTTTTTTGAATATTTTAAAATTGACACTCTTGGGAAGTATCTCCTGATTCAGCCCATTGTTTTGCTCTGAGTTTCTTATATATCACATACCAGGAGGGGCTATGTCAATGAGGGGAGATACACACACACAGACACACAGACACACACACACACACACACACACACACTATTGCTTCATTAGTAACAGTTCCTCGTTGTTTCACTGGTGATACTTTCAATAAGTTTTTTCAGTTCCCTTAGTCTGCTCCTAAACACACCAGCCTACTATGCACATGAGATGTCCTTTCCTGCCAGCCACCAGTTAGATTCTCACTTCTACCAACAGTGCAGCTGTATTGTAGATTAAAAAAAAAAAAAGTTGGGTTTTTGTTTTTAGGTTTTTTTTGTTTTTTTTTGTTTTTGAGACAGAGTCTCGCTCTTGTCGCCCAGGCTGGAGTGCAGTGGCGTGTTCTCAGCTCACTGCACCTCCCCCTTCCTGGGTTCAAGCAATTCTCCTGTCTCAGCCTCCCAAGTAGCTGGGACTACAGGTTTGCACCACCACACCCGGCTAAGTTTTGTATTTTTAGTAGAGACTGTGTTTCTCCATGTTGGCCAAGCTTGTCTTGAACTCCTGATCTCAGGTAATCTGCCCACCTTGGCCTTCCAAAGTGCTGGGAATACAGGCATGAGCCACTGCACCTGGCCCAAAAAATCTGCATTTAACTCAGGCATTAATTTGCTCCTGTATGGCATTCTACTCTACTAATTGCTCATCATCACTGGCCATCAGAGAAATGCAAATCAAAACCACAATGAGATACCATCTCACACCAGTTAGAATGGTGATCATTAAAAAGTCAAGAAACAACAGGTGCTGGAGAGGATGTGGAGAAATAGGAACACTTTTACACTGTTGGTGGGACTGTAAACTAGTTCAACCATTGTGGAAGTCAGTGTGGTGATTTCTCAGTGATGTAGAACTAGAAATACCATTTGACCCAGCCATCCCATTACTGGGTATATACCCAAAGGAGTATAAATCATGCTGCTATAAAGACACACGCACACGTATGTTTACTGCGGCACTATTCACAATAGCAAAGACTTGGAAGCAACCCAAATGTCCAATGATGATAGACTGGATTAAGAAAATGTGGCACATATACACCATGTGATACTATGCAGCCATGAAAAACGATGAGTTCATGTCGATTGTAGGGACATGGATGAAGCTGGAAACCATCATTCTCAGCAAACTATCACAAAGACAGAAAACCAAACACAACATGTTCTCACTCATAGGTGGGAATTGAACATTGAGAACACTTGGACACAGGAAGGGGAACACCAGACACCGGGACCTGTTGTGGGGTCAGGGGATGGGGGTGGGATAGCATTAGGAGATATATACCTAATGTAAATGACGAGTTAATGGGTGCAGCACATCAACATGGCACATGTATACATATGTAACAAACCTGCATGTTGTGCACATGTACCCTAAAACTTAAAGTATAATAAAAAAAAAAGAAATATATCACAGACAACTTAGTAAGAGCCCAAAATACAAAACACAGAGAAAGAGTCTTAGTTCAAGTTGTATTATTTACTATGTGACCTTGGCCTGTGACTTAATTCTTTGAACTCATTTCCCTCATTATATCTAATGAAAATAATGCCTACAACTTATTTTACATAAGAAAACAAGTGGAAATACAATTTTCCTAATATTATTAGTATGTACATATTGTTGCATACTAATTTTAATAATGACAAGTATGTTTTAGAGGCCTTCAGATTAATCATAATCATTATTTTGTGGCATAGTATCATGATCAATTAGTGCATACACCCTATTTTATTCATATTTACTTTAAAGAGGCTTTATTTGTTTTTTCCTTTGCTCCTAACCTGAATCCCACTCCATTTCGACCCCCATACACCATGTCGGTGGTTGAATTCTCCAGAAAGCAGATTCTAAGATAGAATGTAATGAACAGGATGTCTATGTGGGATATCTCACGGCAGGGAGTGAAAAGATGCAGATTGCAGCAGAGGGACAGGGACAGCAATGATTCAGGCCCACATCAGCCTCAGCCAACCTCAAGAGAAGCTCTGGAGTGAGCCATGGCCCTTTAGAGTTGCCTTGCATTGGCCAAATGGCTGAAACTCTGTATCTCCCACACAATAATAGTGGGAGACTTTAACACCCCACTGACAATATTAGACAGATCATTGAGACAGAAAATTAACAAAGATATTCAGGACCTGAACTCAGCTCCAGATCAAGTGTACCTGATAGGTATCAACAGAATTCTCCATCCAAAAATAACAGAATATACATTTTCTCATTGCCACATGGCACTTACTCTAAAGTTGATCACGCAATTGGAAGTAAAACACTCCTCAGCAAATGCAAAAGAACTGACATCATAACAGTCTCTCAGATCATAGCGCAATCAAATTAGAACTCAGGATTAAGAAACTCACTCAAAACCAAAGAACTACATGGAAATTGAACAACCTCTTCCTGAATGACTCCTGGGTAAATAATGAAATTGACAGACATCAAAAAGTTCATTGAAACTACTGAAAACAAAGAGATAACATACCTGAATTTCTGGGACGCAGCAAAAGCAGTGTTAAGAGGGAAATTTATAGCACTAAATGCTCACATCAAAAAGCTAGAAAGATCCCAAATCAGTTTCTATCTGTAAGTGAATGTGAGGTCTTAGCAAAGTAGCTCCTATATCTGAGGCAATCCCTAATGGGACTGACATCTGGGGATTATCTGCTCACAACATTTTCAGAAGCCGGAACAGAAGTCATTCCTTGAGGGAACCTTTGGGAAGCATATCATGGTGTCCACCACAGACTATAAATTATATGCATTTAAAAAAATAAAAAATATTATGTTGTATATTTTGGGCTGTCTCCCTATTTTATTTTCACAACATGCCTATCAGATTTATCGATGATGAGAGTTGCAAATCTAGTTAATATAAAATTATTTTCCTTCTATCTATGTGTTAGAGTGAATATCGTTGGTACTGTATCTATAGACACAATCTCAACACACTTATTACTGCTATGTAATAAAGATATTTTTAAAATAAAAGATGTTAGCCTGTTCCACTCAGAGTGCTTAGGTTCTTAGAACTCATTAACCAATCACTCAGATAGCAATTCTGCCACTCCAGTTTATTGTCCACCACCTATATTTCTTTTTCTCAAATCCCATTGTTTGATTACGACAGCTCTGCTGCTAATAGCAACACAACTCCTGGTAATACCTTCCTCAATCTACCCTCTTTTTCTATTTTTCTATCTCCAGGTCC
The DNA here is from genome assembly GCF_000001405.40 of Homo sapiens. NCBI lineage: Eukaryota > Metazoa > Chordata > Mammalia > Primates > Hominidae > Homo > Homo sapiens. The sequence continues at coordinate 14,882,774 of NC_000008.11, forward strand.
ACTCTGTCTTAGCTTTTTCCCTTTTCGCACCTGCACTAGACCCTGTCGGCTCAGCATCATTTGGATCCACTGACTCCAAATGTGACTTTGTTATGTTCTCCCTCCTTCTTCCCCCTCACCCAGAATTTAACAAAATATATGGTGTGGAACAAGTGCACGATAACCACTGATTTTTAATTTTTTAATATTTCTAATTTTATTGATTGCATCTCATTTTACATCTATGTATTTATACATAATTCTTAATGAGTAGGATCATAAAATAATTTTTTGAAAATAAATATTATTTTTGAAAAGAAGCTTCAAAATGAGGTAAATTTACATGGTCTCTTCTCCTGTTTTAGAGGTAAACTCTTTCTCATTTCATATCTTACTTTAAAACTATCTCATCTGGTGATGAAACAGAACAGAACAGAAAGAAGAAAGTCTATGAACCTCCCTCGCCTCAATGTTGGGCTACTTAAAAAAAAAAAAAAACCACAGAGTGCAAAGTGAGAACCAGAAGGAACTTTCTCCTGTATTTTTCAGTTTTGGCCCTTGGAATCCTGGGTTAAAAGACTGTTTGGTGTTACTCCAGGGCAAGAGCCTGAAGAGAAGGCAAGACTCTATGCTCACATATCTACTTGTGCTTTAGCCATATTCAATATTATACATTAAATACACAAATAGTTTTTAAAAATGAGTTTCAGTGCTTAAAAAAAGGAAGAAAAAAAACTAAGAGTTACTGATCCAATCCTTATTTTATTTAGTAATGACAAAGGGCCAGAACAGAATTCACTTGTCCAAGATCAAATGATGTTTCACACTTCATATTTCATTCTCTTCACTCTTTCGGGTCTAGTTATTAATATATGTTTGGTTATTAGTTTCATAGCCTTGTGTCTCCCAAAATCTTACCCAGCTTGGTTTCTAGATTTCATCCTCTACTAAGCAAGACTATGACTTTGACCTGGCCTGGAGTTCAGACATGTTCCTTATAGCTATCTTTGCTGGCATCCTGTTGTTTTTTTTTTTTTTTTTTTTTCCAATAGTACCCTTCTTCTATTTTGCTGTTGTTGTTGTTGTTTGTTTCTAGTCTACCTTCAAATATCATAAGCCTTGAAAATAGCATTATAGGTTCTCATTTCTGTTTACTGAAGTAAGAATTTGAAGGCAGCTGGATAGGTATGATGATAGAAGGAGTATCTCCTTACTTATCATATATTTAGAATAGCAATCAAGTAACAACAAATTGAATTGTAATGGAGCCAACCATTTGTTTTGTCATCCTTAAATTTCACATGTGGAGTTTAGCATAAACTCATTCCTCTTGATGATTATTTGACAGATTGATTTCAAAGACTTTGGAAAGAGATAATTTGAAGCATCAGATTGAATAAACAATCACAACGTTTCTCTAAGACTCTGATTAATTCTAAATATAAGTGTCTTGTTTAGAATCCATTGCACTGAGAATGTGCAATGCATATCCTTCCCTTAGTGCCAAAGTGCTTTCCAAACCTGGCGTGTTTTTGATGCACCTTATTGGGCTGAGTATATAATAAGTTTTACAATGACACTGAGTTAAGGAACAGTGTGATATAACTACATAAATAAGTTCACAAATAATTATTTATATATCAGTATAAGATAAATGAACTATTTATTTATGCCATAAGCTATAAATAAATAGAATCCTCATTCTTAGACATTGCCCTTCTTGGTGGGTAGATGGTAAAGACCTAACATACACTGGGTGTCTATTTTAGCCAAGACATTTTGCATATAGATTACTAAAGTTTCCTACAAAGGAGAAATCAAAATTAGAGAAGGAACTACTCTCATGGTTTTTAAAGGTTTCTCTGGATGCAGAAAAAATATGATAGAGATCTCCTAAGTGTATATGGCACCAAGAGGGCATTCACTTATTTTAAGAAAGAAAAGGTAGATATTTAGTATTTCACAATAAGTCATCTATTTTTAGTATATATTTAGTAACATTATATTTTATGTTACAAATTATCAACATCACAATTTATCTAATATTAAAAGAAAGCTCTAGAGATATCTCTTCTTACCCCATCTCCTTTCAATCCTCCAGTCCTTCTGGTTTTTATGATACTAAACTCACTGGTTCCAAGTGTAGACAGGCAGACAGGCGCGTGTGTGTCCCCTCTCTCTCAGCTGTGACTTCTGCAGGATCTTTCTTCATTCCAGAAAAAATCGACAGCATTCTCCACCCACTGCCATGACTTTTTCCTTGTATTAGTAAATTACTAATTGTATTTTATTTCTGTTTTCAAATGTCACCTTCTCTGGAAATACTTTGCCAAATCAGTCACTGAAAATCCCATCCCAGGTGGGCTTTCACAACCAAAGTCTCTCTGAATATTTCTGCTTTGTATCACATACGAATCTCTATTTAATATGTCCATGTGCCTGTTTGTTTTTAAATTGGTCCAGTCATCCCTTGAGGAAAGACATTGAGTTTTACCTAGCATTGTATTCTCAGTACCAGCACAGTGGATGATTCATAGTGGGTGTTTGGGGATTAATTAATACAGATACGGTTCTGGTTAGAGTAGTATATTATCTACCTATTTGTTATGCCTAGGGACTAACACCTATAATTTCAAGGCTCTTGAGTGTGAATTTTGAGTATGATACATCAATACATGCTGCTATGCAAAACATGTAATTAATTGGGTTGGATCCTTCTTTGATTGAAAAATTCTCAAAACAAGAGGAATGATCTTATTCTCAGTAGCTCAGCTGGTCCTCTGACACTTGCTTGAACTTCTTTCACAGCCGGCATTATGATCCCTTTTCACTGAGGGAAGGTGTCCTTGCTCTCTTAACTGACATCTTAAAGTCAGGAAAGGGACTTTCATCTTTATATTCCCCACAGTGCCTGGCACACAGAAAAGGCCCAGTAATTGTAGGACTCAAGTGATGCATGATTTTAAAAAGGCCAAGCAAATGTCAGGGTTATTTTGTTTGTTTTAATCAGTCTTTTAAAAATAATTGCAGAATCTTTGAGGGGTTTTGTTGTTGATGATGTTATATTTTTCTGATTATAAAAAGAAGTGCAACTCACAGAAGAGAATTTGGGAAGAACATGAAAATACATAAAGAAGCAGAATAAAATTCACCCTTAATACCTAGATTGATCTGTTAGAAATTTAGCATATTTCTGTACAGTCTGTCTTTTTTAATCATAAAGGACTTTATGTTATATATATATATATATATATATATATATATATATATATATATATATATAAAATTGTATACTTAGCTTTTTCACTTAAGGTAATAGCACATTAATTTCTGTTATTACAAAGTTTGACCACTTAATATTCTATCCCATGCATGCTCATATATTTTTAAGCCAGACCGTTAGTATTGAACATTGTTGATGATTGTTTATAACTTTTCACAACTGTTCTTAGCATACTTCATTTCAACAAATATTTATTGAGGGCCTTCTATGTATCAGATATTGTTTTCCATCCTGAGAGATAGCATAGAATAAACTAGCAAAAATCCCTGCTCTCAGAGAACATATATCCTAGTTATAAAAACAAAAATATAAACATGATAAAATAACATATGGTTTATTAGACAGAGGTGAAAGCTAAGGGGAAGCAAAATATATTGGGAGGTAGGGAATAAAAGGGTCAGAGGGTGGACACATATTTAGCTTGAGGTGGTGAGAGAAGGCTTCACTCAGGAGATATTTGAACAAACACCTCAGGGAGGTGAGAGAACAAATAATCCTGAAATGAGGTGGCTGGGGGAGGGAAGAAGAGCTTCCCAGGGGCAAGTCCTGGGGAAAAGTGTCCCTGGCATGTTCCAGGAGCAGCAGGAGGTCACATTGATTGAGGAGAAGAAAAGAAAGAGATGAGATCAGACATATCCCAGGAGGGAAGATTTTGTAGGTTTTTAAACTCACTGCAATGGCTTGGCTTGTTCTACTCTAAATGAGACGGGAAAATCACTTTAAGGTTTTAAAAGAGTAGCAACATGGTAGAATTTGAGTCTTTAGATCACTTTGGCTTCTGGGGTGGAGCAGACTAAAGGGGCAAGTTGGCACCCAGGATGCAAGTTGAGAGGCTACTGCAATAAAAGAAGTAACGGCATAATGACCTAGGGCAGAGTACTGCAGTGGAGGTGGGAGAAATTCTGAATGTATTATTAGATTACAGTGGGGGGTAAGAGAATCAAGAGGTCAACGATGACGTCAGAGTTTTGGCTTAAGCAGCTGGAAGAAAGGTGATGCCATTTAGTGAGATGGGGCAGATTGCAAGAGGAACAGGTTGAAGGAGGGCCAAGACTGTATCATTCTCCACATCCTTATGTTGGATATCTAAGTGGAAATGCCAAACAGACAGACAAATATACAAGTCTGGATTCAAAGGAGAAGTCTTCACTGGAGATATAAATTTTAGGGTCCTCATCATAGAGATTATATTTAAACTAAAACATTCTCATGCAGATATCCTTATTCATATTTTTGTCATTTGCTTTCCATGGATAACTATATATGGAGTCAGTCAACATTGACTCCAATATTCATTGGATTAACTTGATTCATACATATAAATTATTTTCCTAAAACACTGTGCCAATTTTTCTGACTGCATTATCATTTTACATCTTTAGGTATGCTAATGTAAAGAGAAAAAACTAGATGCATATATTTTTAGGCCTTCATTCTGCATTAATTTGATTACTGGTAAGGATATTATTGGGTTAAATACTAAAATGAAAACATTCCATCAAAAATAGCAAAACCTATAAATATATCTATACACATACATAGCTATACATATACATATACATAAACACACATACACAATCATATAAAAACTATGAATAATTTTGATAACTAGATGCAGGTTAGAGGAAAATGTAAACAATAATGAACATAGCAGCTGTAGCAATATGACAGGAAAGAGTTAATAACTGAATACTTAAAGGTTAAATAAACTCACTAGAAATGTATGAAATCCCTTAAGAAAATAGACACGCAATATTTGTATTTATGTGCCTGGCTTATCTCATTTTCCCTAATATACTCCAGATTCATCCATATAGTTGCAAAAGACAGAATTTCCTTCTTTCCTAAGGCTGAGTTGTATCCCATTGTGTTTACCAGAAACTGGGATCTGAGGGAAATAGGAAGATGTTGCTCAAAGGGTACAAAGTTACAGTTCAATAGGAGGGATAAATGATAAGTATTTGAGGTGATAGATGTGTTGATTAGCTTAATTCAGTCATTCCACATTGTATACATCTATCACAACGTCACTCTGTGCCCCCTAAATATATATAATTTGTCAAGATGTAATAAAATAAAAAAGTAGACAAAGAATATAAACTGAGCATCACATACTTTTTCAAAAAAGCAATACACCAAAAAAGCAAAAGACCAATACACATAGTAGTGACCTTTATCCTTAAATGACAAAAGATGGCTAAGATTGCAGGGCACCGTCTCATGGGTGGAGTAAGAGATTGAGCTGATGAACAGGGATGCATAAAGATATTCTGTTGCCAACCATGATTTCATAACCATCTCTAGCTCTTATTTTATTTATTAGGGCCATACGTGAGAAGCTTTGCCATCTTTTAATAACCCTCTTGCACTTGAACCGTGACTATGATTTCAAAGAATTGCCTGATCAAAGCAATGTAGAATGCAGGAAAAGAAGTGAAAGAATATAGAAAGAAAGTATACATAATCGTATCATGAGCAACAATGAACAAAGAAATAAGCAAGAAACAATGTAAGTCCTTATTGTATTCTTGAAAGACATTGAAAGTTTATAAGAAAAATCCTTAGAAATCATTAACGTAAGATCCAAAGAAAATATTGACTCCTTTCAGATAAGTAATTCTTTAGTATATTAAATTGTCTCATTGTTTATATGAAGCAAAAGAACATTAAAATATCAATTTCATTCCATTTTATAAGGCATAATGCCTTGATCTGCTACTGAAACACATTGTCTATATACATTCATTTGTTTTTCTCAAAAATATGTAAGTTTTATTGTGAAGTAAACATTATTTTTTCACACAGATTTTTCAACAGGTTGTAATAAATATGGCTTAAAATATTACTTTAATGATATGGGTACACTGCTACAAGAATTGTACTCTTTCATAAAACTTGGTGCATATTTCAAATAAATCACTTAATAAGATCCAAAATATTATCTAGCACATTTGCCAATTTTCAAAACCTACACAAAGTAACATTGTATTTTGTTTCTCCAATTCCTTTCCTTCACCCCAATAACTTTCCTTAGAATGGTTATAATTGGCATAATACTCCTGGAATCTAACATATATTCTTCTGCTGCAGTTTAAACCATTTAATTTCCTACCACCTCTGATTCAGTGAAAAAATGGCAACAGTACAATATATCATCATCATATCAATGTGTGGTGCTTGAGGCAAGAAACTATTTTTGAATTCCACCCTCTCAGCTTTCTTTCTTCAAGCTTAGCTTTATTTAGGGAAGACTGACCAAAAAAAAAAAATGTAGATAGATAAAAATCCTGTAAAAAGTACTTTACTTCAACCTGTATTTAAAAAATTGTGCTCAAGTAATATACTCTGAACCTTAATTTTGTATTGAGAATAAAACGCCTAATTAGATAATCCTGAAACAGGATGTGCAATTCATGTTATATTAATGTATTAAGTTGACATCACACTTCATATGTGTAAACTAATAAGACACAGAAAGCTGGAGGGTGGTTGAGGGTTAGAAGAGTTGGGCAAGTAACTTGACTTGGACTCAAAATTCTTATCTATAAAATGATGACAATAACACCAGCCCTGTGTATTACATATTTTTGAAGTAAACATGGATCAAAAAAATTTGTGAAAATGTTCACAAATATGTTATTATGTATTTGAACATATTAACATATACTATTAATGTAGTTATTTTAAATACACAAAATATAGATATTTTGTGTATTTAAAATAACTGCTTGCATATTTTAAATATATTTTATTTTACAATATTGCATATTTTAAATATGCAAGTCACGATATTGAAATTTGGTCAATTCATAACCTATATAATGGCCTCTAAGTGAAAGGAAGTGTCACACATCTCTCACTTTAAATAAAGAGCTAGAAATGATTAAGCCTTATGAGGAAGACCTGTTGAAAGCAGGCCTAAATGAGGCCTCCTGCACCAAGGGAGGCCAAGGCAGGCAGATCACAAGGTCAGGAGTTTGAGACCAGCCTGGCCAATATGGTGAAACTCCGTCTCTACTAAAAATACAAAAATTAGCCGGGCATGGTCGTGGGCACCCATAGTCCCAGCTACTCGGGAGGCTGAGGCAGGTGAATCGCTTCAACGTGGGAGGCGGAAGTTGCAGTGAGCAGAGATTGCACCACTGCACTCCAGCCTGGGCGACAGAACAAGACTCCATCAAAAAAAGAAAGAAAGAAAGAGAGAGAGAAAGAGAGAAAGGAAAAGGAAGGAAAGGAAGGAAAGAAACGAAAGGAAGGAAAGAAACGAAAGAAAAGAAAAAGTTCTTGAAGGAAATTAAAAGTGTTACTCTAGTGAAAACATAAATGGTAAGAAAGTGAAACAGCCTTATTTTTGATATAGAGACAGCTTTAGTGGTCTAGATGGATGAAATCAGCCCCAACACTCCCCTAAGCGAAAGCCTATTCAAGTGCAAAGCCCTGACTCTGCAATTCTATGAAGACTGAGAGAGGTGAGGAAGCTCAACAAGAAAAGTTTGAAGCTAGAATAAGTTGGTTCATGAGGTTTAAGGAAAGAAACCATCCCCATAACCTGAAAGTGCAAGGCAAAGCAGCAAGTGCTGAAGTAGACACTGCAGTAAGCTATCCAGAAGATCTAGTGAGGATAATTGATGAAAGTGGCTATTTTTATTGACAGGTTTTCAACATAGATGAAATTGCCTTCCATTGGTAGAAGATGCCATTTAAGACTTTCATAGCCAAAGAGGAGAGTCAATGCTTGGCCTCTAAGCTTCAAAGGACAGGCTATCTTGTTAGGTATTCATGCAGCTGATTACTTTAAGTTTTAGGCAATGCTCATTTACCATTTCCAAAATCCTCAGGCTCTTCAGAATTATGCTAAATCCACTCTGCCTGTGCTCTAGAAATGGAAAAACAAAGCCTGATAGCAGCACTTCTGTTTATAGCATGGTTTACTGAATAGTTTAAGCCCTCTATTGAGACCTATTCCTGAGAAAAACAAGATTCCTTTCTAAACATTCCTGCTTATTGACAATGCACCTAATCAACCAAAAGGCCTGGAGATACACAAGGAGATTAATGTTTCCATGCCTGCAAGAAGAACCTCCCTTGTGCAGCCCATGGATCAAGGAATAATTTCCACATTGAAGCCTGATTTAAGGAAAACATTTTGTAAGGCTATAGTTGTCACAGATAGTAATTCCTCTGATGAATCTGGGCATAGTAAACTGAAAACCTTCTGGAAAGGATTTGCCATTCTCAGTACTGTGAAGAAGATCCATGATTCATGAAAGGAGGTCAAAATAGAAACATTAACAGAAGTTTGAAAGAAGTTGATTCCAGCAGTCATGGACGACTTTGAGAGGTTCAAGACTTCAGTGGAGAGAGTCACTGCAGAGGAGGTAGAAAATGCAAAATAACTAGAATTAGAAGTAGAGCCTGAAGATGTGACTGAATTGCTACAGTCTCAGGATAAAACATTAGGATAATGAGTTACTTCTTATGGATGAGCAAAGAAAGTGGTATCTAGGCATATAATCTACTCCTAGTGAAGATGATGTGAACATTGTTAAAATGACAACAAAGGATTCAGAATATTCCACAAACTTAGCTGATAAAGCAGAGGGAGGTCTGGAGAGGAATGACTCCAATTTTAAAAGAAGTTCTACTGTGAGCAAAATGCTATCAAACGGAGAGCATGCTACAGAGAAATCTTTGGTAAAAGGAAGAGTCAATCAATGCAGCAGACTTTATTGTCTTATTTTAAGCCGTTGCCACGGCTACCTCACTCTTTAGCAACCATCACCCTCATCAGTCAGCATCTTAACATGCAGACAATATCCTCCACAAGCAAAAATATTACAGCTCACTGAAGGCTCAGATGGTCATTAGCAATAAAGTAATTTTTTAAAATTATGGTATGTATATGTTTAGACATAATACTATTGCACACTTAACAGACATCACATAATGCAAACGTAACTTTTACATGCACTGGGCAACCAACAAATTCGGGTGACTTGCTTTAATGCAGTGGGCTGGCACTGAACCTGGAATATATCTAAGATATGCTTATATTTACAATCACAATTTATTACGTATGTAGTTGTACATCATTTTACATTATGGCTTCCATACAATTTCAGAACTCCTGAAAGACTGCTTACTTGCTATCTCAAGTCACTTTACTTTATTAGGCCCAATTACCAAACACGCCCTAGGCCTTCAGGTAATGTAACATGTGCCATCAGGATATATCTGCTGAGTGTAGGGGATATCGCAACATACCTCATTCCACCTGCTGATATTCCTGTCACTCAAAAGCGTGATGCTCATATGTAAGTAAATGTGAGCTTACTGCACTGAAATAAAAGCTATCTATTCTGTGTCACTGATCTCTGTGAGATACGACTGTGATAAAGGAACTCTGTAACATTTAAAAAGAAATAGTCTGGAAATTCTAGCAAGCAGGAAAAATTTATAGCATCACGTCTCTTTGGATAAAGCCAACATTAACTGTTCCTTTTTTTGGGTAAAACCAAAGTTAAATGTTTTAATAATAGTTTATTATTTGATATATTAATACATCATTAAATTTTACACATGTTGATAGAACAATAAATATGCAAGAAAAAATAAGGATTGTTTATACATCAAACTTCCATGGAACTAAGTAAATAAAAATTATGATCAACACTTTTTAACAGTATAATAGCAAATTAGGAAACATGGTCATCACCATTAAATAATTAATTTCCATGTATCACTTGCTTTTGCTGGTGGATTGTACCCATTTCACTCTTAAAATAGAAGGTTTGAACTATATGATCTCTATGTTCTCATCCAAATCTATCATTCTATGGTTCTAAAATCAGGATATGATTGGGCACTGCTTAGACCAAGAAGTTTGCACACCAGAAACAAAAACTACTAAAACAAGGGCCAGTCATGATGTAGTTATTCTTCCATACAGAGCATATGGTAGGCAGAAGAATGACAGACGTCTACATCCTAACCCTGTGAATGTGTTGCCTAACTTGCCGAGAGGGACTTTGCATATTTGATTAAGTGAGGGTCCATGAGACTGGGAAGTTCTGCTGGAGTATCCTGGCAGGCCCCATCCAATCACATGGGTCCTGAGAAGTGAAGAATCTTTCCAGTTGGGGTTCACAGAAAGAGATGGACTACAAGAGTAGGGTCAGAGAGATGCTACATTGCTCATTTTAAAGATGGAGGAAGGAGGCTAAAAGCAAAGGAATGTGGGGAGCTCTTAGAAGCCAGAAAAGTGAAGGAAATACACTCTCTCCTACAATCTCCAGAAAGAAAACAGCCCTGCCATCACCTTAAATCTAGTCCGATGAGAGCCACGTCAAACTTCTGGCCTATAAAATGATAAGGTAATAAATATAAGGTGTTTTAAGTCAATAACTTTGTGGTAATTTTTTACAACAGTAATGGGAATTAATAGAGGCCAAAAAAGTGACAAATTGGATTTCTCTTTTCAGGGGACGTAGAATTATATTTTAATGTATGTATGCTAGACTGTGAATAATTAACAACCAGCTTATTATGCTCTGATCGCCATAATTTTAGGAATTTCTCATAAAGCTTTATAAATAATGCTGTCATTTATCAGGGATTCAATACTGTGTCTCACACAACAGACACTATGAACTATGCTGATAAGCGCTCATGGCTTTAATGCTGAAAAATATAATAACTTGCCTACCAAAGTCACAGAGACTCTTAAACAACATGTTAAACAATTTTATGTCCCCATTTTTGTTAGTATAAAAGGAAACATCACTAATAATCACTTCTTTACAAGACATTAGGATTTTTCTAAGATGTCAAAAGTCTAAAGTACTAACTTTACTTAGTAACTTTGGCTTTATTCAGCTTTATTATTAGAGCATATGACAGTTTCCTCAATTCTAAATTCTATGCTGTTTGTAACACTTTTTAACCCAGGGCAGAAGTGATATCTATATCAAAATGACTGGTGAATGGCTTTTTTCCTTTAAATGAGACTCAAGTCCCTTCACAGAAAATATAAGAAATATTTAATTAATTGGCATTGATTTATCAAGCTTTAATTAATGACATGCATCTGAGTTTTAAGATCTTAATATAAAATATTCACTAAATACAGAAGATGTGCAACTGCCTCATAGTACTTAAACTTTGCTGTTATTTTTTTTTCAATTGTGTTAGCTTTCAAAAAAGAACTGCTTTCCGAATTAAGTTAAGCAACTATAGTTAATGAATGGTTCTCCCATAACCTCTCTCAGTTGACTTTTGAAGAGCACACTTCTAAAATATATAAAGCACATCTGTCATTAGAAAATTTATTTCCACTGGGCAAAGATAATTGAATGTCAATGGTGCAAAGTGAAAGGAAAAGCTTGACTTTGCTTTTACATTACTTAAAAGAAATCTGTCAGTATCCCCTTAGTGATCGCTCTAGACAGAAATGGACAAGGACTCTTCAAATTTGCTCCCCAAGGGTCTTTGCTTCAGGTCACAATGAACAGGAGCTTATCTTTGCTTCAGATGATCACTGGGCCTCTCACACTGAAGACACAGTTTTTCATACCCCGAGGAAGAAATAATTGATCTCACTGGGCAATCTTTTAAATTTTCAGATGAACCAAAAGAAAGTTCTCAAATATGGTCAAATGAAATAAAAGCTTTGTTGTCTTTAGAAACTACTTCAGGTAAAAATGTCGGTCTTCTTTTTGTTATAAACTACAAAAAAAAGTGAATAAATAAATGAATATAAAATAACACCCTCCCTAGCTTCTTAGAATCAATCCCAAACACAAGCAAGTTACTTCTCCTCAGAGTTTCTGCAGGAGACACAAACAATTCAAATGCTACAGAATGAAGGAAAACTATATTAAAAAATTTGATTTATGAAACTGAGGACCGAAAAACAAGTGGATGCTAAATGCAAAAAAATCTTTATATCTTCCATACATAATGCTAAAGTTTGGGGGTCCAGGGTAATAATATATTACTTTACTTCAGTTGTATTAGGAATAACATGAATGATCTATAATTTTGGTTTCAGTTGAAGTTGCTACATAGAATTAAACTAAGGAAATATGTACTTGCTCTTAATTTATACAATTAATCGTTTAGTAAGTTAATAATTATTGATTTTATTAATAACAGTTGTTGCCAACTAGTTGTGTCATTTGGTGTGGTGGTTACTTGGGTTCAAATCCTACCTCTGCCATGTAATCTTGGGTACATTACCTAATTCTTCTGATTGTTAGTGTACTCATCTCTTAAATGGGGCCAAAATTGAATAGCTGTGAAGATCGAATGAGTTAAATAATTAAAGTAACCAGGACAGTACCTAAGACACAATTACCAATGCACATCTGTGTGTGTTTTTTTGGGGGTGATACATAACATTTCTACTCTCCTGGAAATCTTATCAGCTGTTTTATTAGTGTGATAAGAAATTCAAAGATGAGATTAAAGCCTTATTATAACATTCCCCACTCCCCCCAAATCCATAAGGACTGATAGAAAACCTTATTTTGAATCTGGAAGATCAAAGAAGATGTAAGTGGTATTACCTCTTCATAACAGAACAAAATACAAAAATAAAAGCCAAGGGACTTGCTTAATAATATTAATAATTTTTAACTTCTACTAAAATATTACTGTGTGCCAGGAACTTTGCTATGTTCTTTTCGAATGTGTGATAAGTCTCGAAAAGCAAATTGCAAATGTAGATGCAGTGGTTCCCAGCCCAAGCTACACACTGGAATAGCCTAAGAAGCTTTTTAAAATATCTAATGCTGAGCCTCACTGCTGGAGATTCTAATTGATCTATGTAGGGTAGAAATGGGATATTTTATTTATTAGAAGTTCTTCTGGTATTTATAATGTGTATATAGGGTTGAGACTCACTTTAGTAAAATGTTTGCATTAAAAATACGTACATCCCAGGTGAACACTACCTGGTAAGGCAAACCATTCCCTCAGTCCAATCTCTACTTAGATCTTTGGACCAGCCCATGCTTGCTAACAATATAAATTAAAATTACAGGTCATTAAAATCAACTAGTTTTCTGCATTCCCAAAAATAGAAAGTGAAGAAACTGCTATGGGTAGGTGAGTTACATTTTTGTCTTATTTTGGTCATTTTCTTTTATTTTGGTCACATTGTTAATTCTCTTCCTCTCATCCGGGAAAGCTGACTTTCAAGAAAGAGGATATGCTTTTTAGTTGCCCCTGTTAACTTCAAATGAAAGATATCTGGGGAAAGAAGGTGTGCAAGATCCTCTCTCTTACCCTCAAATATGTAGAAGTTAAACATAATGCCTAATGGCACTGACTCTGGTGTCAGGCAGAGTTACTGGGGGCAAATAATGATTCTACATTTCATGTTGACTCATGATGGAAGACTTTTATTTATTTATTTATTTATTTATTTTACTATTATTATCATTATTATGATTATTTTGAGACAGAGCTTCACCCTGTCATCCAAGCTTGAGTGCAGCGGCATGATCTCGGCTCACTGCAAACTCCACCTCTCAGGTTCCAGTGATTCTTCTGCTGCAGCCTCCTAGGTAGCTGGGATTACAGGTGTCCTCCACCACACCTGGCTAATTTCCGTATTTTCAGGAGAGACGGGGTTTCACCATGTTGGTCAAGGTAGTCTCGAACTCCTGACCTCCAGTGATAAACCTGCCTCGGCCTCCCAAAGTGCTGGGATTACAGGCGTGGGCCACCACACCTGGCTGACTTTTTTTTTCTTTTTTTGACACAGAGTCTTGCTCTGTCACCCAGGCTCTGGAGTGCAGTGGTGTGAACTCGGCTCACTGCAACCTCCGCCTCCTGGGTTGAAGCGATTCTCCCGCCTCAGCCCTCCTGAGTAGCTGGGATTACAGGTGAGCGCCACCAGGCCCAACTAATTTTTTTGGTATTTTTAGTAGAGATGGGCTTCACCACATTGGTCAGGCTGGTCTCGAACTCCTGACCTCATGATTCACCTGCCTCAGCCTCCCAAAGTGATGGGATTACAGGCGTGAGCCACCGTGCCTGGCCCTGGCTGACTTTCTTAACCTCCCTAGTCCTTGCTTTTCACATCTGCAAAAAGGAAATAATTATTAGCTTGATAGTGTTATTAAAAGAAATAAATGAGAGAATCATGTAAAGGTATTTTAATTAATCTAATGCCTGTCTCAAAGGAAATGGTTGGTGAATATAATTAATAATTACGTATATAATAAACTATTAATAAAATTAATATCTGGTCTTCTCTAGAAAGTTCCCATCTGATAAAAGGCAAAAAGTGAAAGCACTGCTTAAGAAATAACATTTAGAAACAACCTATTATACTGAGTATCCCACTAGGATGGCTTGTAACGTTTAGCCCTTCCTCTTAAACTTGATGCCGAGTTTCTTTGGATCAATGTCTTGTAGTTCTGGACGGTTTGGCTCTTCTGTTCTCACAGGATTCTTTCCCTTTTCAACATGTCAATGGTGAGGAAGGCATCCAAATTGCACCCTCAGTCTAATCATTGTACAGGTCTAGTGTCAGTGCCTTTTCTATTTTAAATGTGAATTAGTCACAGCTATAGATCATAATGAAGTCCCTGGAGATCATAAGGCATAATTCATATGTCCCTGCATAGACTATACTAGCATGATACTAAACTCTTTACGTTCTTGCAACTGTATTATATCAACAAATGGCCATTCTCATCTTTTCCAAAACATCCTAGCATGTGTGATGTCTCTATCCTTAGAAATATCTGATTCACAAACATCAACTGTGAAGTCCCCTCCTGTCATTCTGTGCATAGTTTATACCCTTTCTACCAATCACTCAGGAAACACTTGAATACTTCCTATGTAGAAGGCACTATCCAGGCATTAAGGGATAGAGGCATTTTCAAAAGAGATGTATCCCCTACCCTAATAAGGCTTGTATTTTAGTGGTGAAGAAAGACATTTTAAAATTATTATTTTATAGTTGATTTACAATTCACGAACAGATGTGTTTAGTATGTTTATACTGGGCCATCCAATAAGGAACTCTGAGAAAACAACTTTTATTATAAACTTAAAAAAAAAAAAGAATCAACATTTTTTGCAGAGACAGGTCTCATTACATTGCCCAGGCTGGTCTCAAACTCCTGTACTCAAGAGATCCTCCCACCTCAACCTCCCAAAGCATAGGAACTACAGGTGTGAGCCACCATATGCGGCCAGAAGCAATTTCTAAGATGTGTTTAAAGGAGGAGGAAAGATCCAGGCAAAGAGTGAAAGGAAGGCAAAGCTATGCAATGTCAACAGCCTGTGCCAGGGTGCAGCGATGTGAGAAACAGCCGAGGCTGCCGCTGAACCTCTGGGTGTGATGGGAAATGCGTTGTAAGGCGGCCTGCTGCAGAGGTTGGGAGGGTCACAGGTAAGAATTTGGCACTTTATTCTGAGAAGATATTGGGCCAGGGACTGATATGGTTAGGTTGTGTTCTTAAAATATTCTTTCAGTTTCAGCATGAAGAATAAATTGGTAAAAGCAAGAATAATGGGAAAGATGGTTATTGGACTTGGGTGACAGGAATAGAAGTGAAAAGATTTGAGAATATATATAAGCGAGAATCGAAAGGATTTGATAATGGATTATATCTGAGATGAGAAGAGTCAAGTTTAAGAATAATTTCCTGGTGTCTGGTTTGAAAGAGCAAGCAAAGGTGCTAGTTTTCAAGATAGAGAATACTAGTTGGAGATAAGATTTGGAAATATAAAAGAATAATTCAGTGAGTGCCACCTTCTGTTCAAGATGTCTCTATATTGTATGCATTGTGTGAGGATATTATAAAGGTAGTTGAATAACTGAGCTGGGGTTTAGAGAGGAAAATTGTTCTGAGAAAATATATTTCAGAATTTTCAAAATCAACAAATAAATCCATGATAGTGAAGACAATGTAAAATAATTTTTTAAAAGTTTCCAAGATGATTCACTTTTTGAATATTGAACTTTTTACCGTGTTAGAGTTTCACTTTTTTTTAAGAAGTCGTTTTCCTTAAAAAGGAACTGTAATTTTTTTTTCCTGGAATTGAGGACAATCGCATAATAGCTGCCTTGATCATAGTTTATCAAGACCCTTTACATAATGTCAATTTGTGGCAATGAACATATATTTTAGGAAAAACTGTGGGTGAAAGTATTTTGTAAATCTCATATCCACTTTATTAACTTGCAATTTAAGATCTCCTTGCCGGCAATCCCTTCTTCCTTTCTTCCTCCCTTATTTCCCACTTCCCTCCCTCTCTTCTTCCATCTGTCCAATATTTGTACAACAACTGTTAACACATGAAGATACATGAAATGAATGAGACTATTCTGACCTTAAAGATTTTATAGTCTACTTGCCAAAAACTAATGTTAAATTACAAAAATAGAAGCACAGAATGTGATTTAGAGAAGGTGCTACAAAGTTGCTAAACTTTGAACATGAGTAGCCATTTCCTCAACAGACTAGGGAGGTTTGCCAGGCAGGCTGGAAAAGGAATGCCCTTCACACTTCCCACTGCACAGGCAAAGCTTCCCCATGCTTGGAGGCTCCAGGTTGTAAATTGCTGTGCTAGGTTCACTACCTGATCCCGAAGGCATATTGGTTTAAGTAATACAATCAGGTTCTTTTGACCTCGGGAGGTTAAATGGGAGAGAGGAGGGTAGAAGAATATACCAGCCTATACCTCAAAATGAGGATGGAAGGAGAGAAGGGAGAAAAGACAGAGGGAGGAATACAGGAAGGGAGAAAAGTGAAAAGAAAGAAGGGAGGAAGTGAGAGAGGAAGGAAGAGGAGGAAGAAGAAGAAGAAGAGGAGGAGGAGAGGAAAATGCTTAAACATTGTACCAACAGCTAAGAGATGAAGTGAGTAGCTGGTGACCTGTACGTAGTTCTAGCAGAGGGTACCTGCTGTGAAAAGGTTTAACGTGGGGTGTTATTCTCATTCTCTGAGAGGAGACCTTTCAGTGAACCAGATTTTTCTCCAGTGTTCTGTGGAAGTTGGATATTTTATAAATATAATAAACTCTCCCAAGCCCCTACGGTAATTTTTGAAACCTTTCTATAACAATTTTATCAGTATAAATCACATCCACTTGACTGTAGACAGACAAGGGCGGTTTGCTACACAGGCTGGAATAGTTTTTAAAAAATTAAAATAAACAGCTTACGGTAATAGTAAATACTGAGCATATCTTTAAGGCAAAAAGTACTGTCAGAATGTAAAATTTAAAAATCAATTGGATGATTTTTTCTAATGAATGATGTGATAAACCCCCAACGGCTCTAGATTCTACCATTTCTTCATGCATCCATTGAGTGAGTGAGGCTGAAAGCTACCCCACAGTCAGTTCTTGGGCAGGAAGTTTGGACCCAATAGCGGTATTCTGTAACCTGTATGGCACAGAAATCAACCAACGAAATCAACTCCGACCCAGCAGAATGGATTCAGGCTCCTAAATAACAAACTCAACTATACCGCTGGGTCCAAGCTGAATGACAGCCCTGATTCTACTTACCAGCCCATATGCAAAATATCTGTTGAATCATCAATACCGAAAACCTTCAAGACCTGTCATTATAGACTGAATACCAGGTTTAATTTCAATTCAGACATCAGTGAAACTCATGTTGAATATCCTCTCATTTGCAGTTTACGAAATCTGAAAGGTATTTTATTATTGAAGTCAGATAAAGATGCAAATTGCATGAATATCTTTGACTATTATCTACAATTCCAAAGGTAACATAGCCAAAATTCAGAATCTTTCCTTAAAAACAGGCATTTCCCATATTGGCCTACTATAGAAATGTTGAAAATTAAAATGTTTTGATTAATTTGCACTCTAATTTACTAGTTTTATACTCTGAATTGCAAACCCTACCTATAAAGTATTTATTTCTGTGGACTGTGATAGTCTAGATAGCTCAGGCTTTGAGGTTTGATAATCAAATTTATTAATACCAAGATATTCTAATAACATATCATTTCTGTTTGGAAAGAATGCTTACTCAAAGGAAGAGAGCTTGAACTCCTGTTATTCTGAAACTTGGCACATTTCTGGCATAAATATCAATCTAATTATACATATGGACTGTAAAATCTCAGATCAAATTGCAACTTTTAGTTGGGAGACTCTTCTATTATCCTTAATGAACCCTAAATTAGGTGAGCACACTTAAGAAATAATTGCTCCATAAAATCCTGTGATGACTCACTGGTAACCACAGTTTTATTATGAGTTGAAGGAACAGAAAGGCATCTGTCCATTATGCATGGGAGTAGCTCCCAAACACATCTAATGAGTCACCACACACAAGGTCATTGGTCAGTTTGGACCTGGCCAATGTAGTGACAAACAGGCAATACATTAAGAGAATAAAACGTAGGCGTATACGTTTTTCCTTTCACAGTACAGCACTTTTAGTTGTTACTAAAAATGTATCTGATTTGAGATTGAAAAAATATCAATAGCAATTTTATTTAAAGGATGCTGTATCTGTAAAATGTGTGAAGGACTGTTAGGTTCTTCACACATTTTGGGGTGAAAATTTTCGGGTGAAAAAATCCTTGGTCTATGTAAAATATCCTTTGTATATGGAAACAGTCCTTCTCACATTCTGGGGTAAAAAAGTTACATATATTTTCGGTAAAAATGCCTAAAGCTGTGTCAAGCAACGTACATGACAATGTATCCTACAAATCAGACTTAACAGACTATACCAAGAAAATATCTATTTTTGTATGTTTCATGTGCAGGAAATGTCACGCTAATGTAAACCAACTGTACAAGAAAACAGAATATCCTACATACATAAGTAAAAATAAAGCAGGAAACAAAACATGAGAAATTGATTCTTGTTTACATCACCTAGCAAGAACAAATGCTGACAGTCAGCCTTAGGCAAGGGGGCAAAATCACTCACTAACTGGTATAACATATCACTAATTGTAATTAACCATTTTAATATGCAAATTATTATACATTTTAGTGGACACTTTATTTCAAACTATTTGGCTCCATAAATGCCTACACTCAAATTTGGTGAGTAAATGATTCACTCCTTAGCTCTGGTAGGACAAGGGAAACACGAACAAAAGCCAGACTTTTCATTTCTGGAGGGTTCATTCTGGACCTCTCGTACCCAGATCCCTTGTCAAGCTCCTTCTCTGCCTGTGTTCCATCTACTGTTTTGAGTTTCTGGTCTTTTACTTGTTTCTCTTGTCTTCCGTTCTTAATCTTTTCTTCTACAGTTTGATCCTCTCTGCTGATCAGGCATTACTTGGAATATTTCCAATCATTTTGACCCCTGCGACTTGGTCAGAGTGATCTCTTGCATTATCCAATGCCTCTGTCTCTCCGAAGTTTTTGCCCAAGAATTCCCTGGGCCTGAATTTTCCTTGCCTGGAAAATCAAGCATCAGAAACTATGTGTTTAGGTATATAACCTAAACATAAATATAAACCTTGCTTTCTCAAAATTCAACTAAAATGGCAAGAGCATCTTTCTGGTTTTGGTGAATACCTTTGTACTCACCATAACATGAATATGGGATTTGGTGAATACTATGCCAGCCTCTTCAGAAAGTTGTCTATTGAAATTAGCCTAGTCCTGACATTGAATTTGATAAAGAAAGATATAAATATCACAAAACAAACATGATTTCCTGCAATTTTCTTTACAATTCTTAAGCATAGACAAATATTCGAGTTTACTGGGGAGGTCAGTTACCTTAATCAGGAATACATGCTCTATAGTGGTTAGCTAATATTTACTCAGAAGTCTACTTTCAATTTTGCTATAATAAATACTTTAGTTATATTTATTTCTAATGAATATACGTCTCCCTGATTAACAGAAGGAATGTTAGAAAAACGATTTGTATTGGCAAAACTGTGATTTTCAAAACATGTGAATTGACTGGAAATATGTTTAAAGTATCATCCCTCTTAAATTAACAGTATATAAATAGCTCTGAAGCCCCTTCTCTTGCTCCTGAGACGATGCCACTGTTCTGTATCCAGTTAACGAGGCAGAGGGTTCTGGTTTCCTTACAGTAAGTTTAATTAAGTCCTTCTCTAAAGTACTATATCATCTGCCTCAATGACTATAATGAGTGGTCAGAATACACACAAAGACACAGAACTGAAATTTCATCAAGCAAATGTTTTTAAACATTCTCATGACAAATGGCAAATACATGACAGTGTAGATACAGCATTATTTCTGAGACTTGCTCTCATACTAAATACAGATGCAGCAGCAGAGAAATTTTATGATCCTCACCACTAACTGCTGACAGATATCAGTAATTATTTAAAACAATTAATAATTATGAATAATATACTGGCTTAGGTTTGTCTGTAATAGCATTCAAATCTTGAAATCCTGAAAAAACAAAAAAAGTAAATGCAAATGGGTTATCTGGGTTACTGTTAAAGTGTTCTCTAAGTATTTGAGTCTATTTATTGAAGAATAAATAAGTAAAAACACAGAAAGATGACAAACAGATAAATGGGTATTAGCCTTTAGGTTGGAAAAAATTAGAAAAGTTTCAGTCACTTCTATGAAATAGGAACACTATCCTGGAAGACTGAGAATTTGAAAGAACGTCTTATGTATTACTGGAGACTTATGTATTATTTATTGTGTAGTTTTTAAGAGCAGTGTATAGGGACAGTCAGAGTACATTATATACTAGTCAGAGTATGAGTGATTATCTCAACAGTTCAGGAAATTATTCAGAAACATTAGAAAGAAAGGAGACATATTGCTGATTTTGGGTTAAAGTGAAGAGGATTTAAATAGAATAAATATACAGAAATCTAGGGAAGATTAACCTTAGGAAAGCTTTACATTAAGAGGGTTAAAACATTAACTCAAGATACTTCTTTTCTCATGATTAGTAATATTTCGTAACAGGAAATTGTGGACCATTCAATAATGTTAGATGAGCTACAAAAAAATTTTAAAAGTCAACTAAAGGAAATAAGGTATTAACTTGTTGATAAAGCTATCATAGTCTTCCTCATACTAGTCGTGCATTATTATGCATCTTAGGGGTTTTCATGAAATATGTTTATCTTAAAATATAGTAATATATACTTCATGAGGAAAAAGTGCAACTTGAATTGCTGCTCACAGCTTTCTCTGAAAATTCTTCCCCCTGAACTTCTTCCTTTGGGAAAATACGCTTGATTTCTCCATCCCTGTGGTCGTTCCTGAAAACAGCATTGTTTTCAAGGACAGAAAGGATAGCATAATGTTTTGGTATAAATATCAATGTAATTCCTAAACATCTCAATCCTTTCCAAAAAAGATTAGACGCAGTTCAATATAGCACGCAAAACATCTCATTATCAAAGAATACACGAACTTATTTCTGTAAACTAGAAGCATAATTTTACCTTTATGTAAACTAGAATATACGAACTTATTTCTGTAAACTAGAAGCATTTTACCTTGAATAATTCATTATTAAATAATTTCTGAAGGAAATTTTAAAATCTCTCTGTAAAATGGTATTCATATCCAAATTAAATTCATGATGAGCTCTTAATTTCACCAACTGCACAATTTATTGAGGGTTTTAGTGAAAGAGATTCTCTCCTCAATAAGATTCATACACAGCATTCTACTTAGAAAATATTCTCTATCTATATTTTATAATTAGATTTGATAGTCTATGTTACTGTTCTAAGGCTATCTGGGTTTTGATTTATTTTACACTTTTTGCCAGTAATTCTTTTTTTCTACAAGTCGTCACAGATTTTCTCTATAATCTTATTCCTTTATGATGTTTTATTATTATTTCTTCCTTAGATAACCATTCTTTATCTTTCAACTCTCCTCCTATGTTTTAAATTAAAGCTTACTTTTATCAATATGTATTCATATAATGTATCTTTGTTATTATGAAAACTTAAGTCTTGCCTAACACAAAAATTAAATCATAAAACTATAAAAGACAATATTATTGGGGCCCTTCATTTGGAAAATATTTCTTGACACTACCCTATACTCACTTCCCAGTCACAAATTATAAGGAGAAAAATTGATGAATTATATTTCTTCAAATGTATATACTTCTGTTTATCAATGACATCATAGATGAAGTTAATCGACAAGATTTTACTATCTAAAATATAACAAACACTTCCTTAATCATTTCAAAAAATAATCTGGAATCTCAATAGGAAAAAATAGACAAAAGCTATAAAGAATGAACAAAGGAAAAACCGATTAAAAAGACAGTAATGGTAAATGGTAGGGATATTTCACCTCATTAATACTCCAATAAATAAAAATTAAGAAAACTACGACATGACATCACACCGCTTTCCAGGAAAACAATAAAGTCAGGTAGTATAATACTAAGTCCGAGAGAGAGAGACTAAGGACACTCATTTACTGCTCATTGGAATTGAAACTTGGAGAGCCAATGTGGACCGCCATCTCCAGTATTTGATAAAACTGGGTACATGTGCAAATTAGCACTCAGAAATTTCTCAAAGTGCACCAGAGAAAAATCTCTGCCCACACACAAACTAGGAAAATTATTCTATGATTAAATTAATTACAGTGTTTATCATAGTGTCAAATAGTTGTACCCAACCTCCGAATCCATGTAGAGGAATACGTAAGTGAAGATATACATAGGTAAAGATGTCATCAGAAGCTATAGGCCAGATGGGCAGCAGCATAGACAGACACTCAATTAAACATTGAATGAGACAAAATAAGAAAAAAAAAAGGTAAATTTAAAACTCAAAACCATTCGTACAAACTGAACACATACGGAAAACAATATATATTTATATACACACATACACCTATGTATACAAATATACACACTTATATTGGAAGTACCTCTACAAATAAAATAAAGAATATACCTATGAGGAAGATATAGTGTTAGGAATGTGGTTGAAATATTTTTTAAAAAAATTACAAATATATAAAGTATATCAAAAGCCAAAAGAAAGGCTTTTCAAAGATTGATGCTGATATTGTGCCATTCACTGAGATCGACAAAAGGCTGCGTATTTGAGATATAAGAGATAAATAAATTAAACATGGGGCTAATTATATATTAAGAAGATTAACTCTCTAGGACACATACTGCAGGAGCTAATTCTTGCATTAATTTTGAAGACGCTCCCTAGAGTTTTATATAAGGAACTGTTTGTGGAAAATATGAGGATCATAATAGCTTTGTAGTCCAATAATTCTTGAGACAATATGAATATTTTAGAAATGTTACTTCTTGAATACTCTTAAAAAGAGATTATGTTTAAACCAATACCTGCAAAGCTTACAAAAGAGTAAAAGTCCAGGAAGACACCAGGTATATTCTGAACCAATGGCTCTTAAACCACGCTCTGGAAAATTCTCAACTTCTGTAGTGATATGGCAGGTTACCCACAATTAAAATTATTGTTTTATATATTTTTTCTTTTCTACAAAGCAAACGTAAACTGCTGCCACTTACAATTTAATTTAAACAGATATTTGGCTTCTAAGATGTTTGAAACATCATTCTAGAAAAGAACAAATCACTTTGGTATTTGTACTAAATCCATATTATACTTACCCCTCACCAGTACTGAAATCAACTAACTAGGATTTACAAGAATGAAGATCAAACAACAGAACTTGGCGTGAGGCACACACAGTTCTGAGAAATCAACTGGAGACCAACAATGAGATGCTTACAGTCCTGATTAGCTCTAGAAAAGAGCTAGAGCTAGAAAAAGAACTGGGTTCTTATGAGAGAAATCATTTCTTTCTAAGGAGTATATATCACAGATAGAGTTACATAGTTAATAAATTAGACAATGGCATTGTTATGGAGTCAAAGTATTTTCAAATACATATACTTTAAAAAAGGTGATATTTCTGCCACTGTCAGAGAATTTATAACAATTCAATAACCTTAAATCATATCCCATAAACAACTCAAAATGTTACCATAAAACTTTTATTTTTGTTCTCCCTGAAAGCATGGTGCTAGTTTTATGCATGTCACTGGGTCACTGAAATGTAAATAATTTGCCTATAAACTGATAATTTAGTTTATCCAGGCACCTCTGTGATACAGTCTACTATTTTTTCAATGGGTTTCATATGTTTTACAGTTACCCATTATTATTTTTTGGGACAGAGTCTTGCTCTGTCACTCAGGATGAAGTAGAATGGCGTAATCATGGCTCACCGCAGCCTTGTACTTATGGCCTCAAGGGATCCTCTCACCTCAGCCTCATGAGTAGCTGGGACTACAGGCACACCACTATGCCTGGATAATTTTTATTTTTTGAGATGATGTCTCACTATCTTGCCGAGGTTAGTCTCCAACTCCTGGGCTCAAGTGATCCTCCTGCCTCAGCCTCTCAAAGTGCTAGAATTGCAGGCATAAGCCACTGCTCCCAGCCTCAGTTAACTATTAAGAAGTGCCGCTTCAACTATTGGAGGAGCTAAATGCCTCCAATAACTAACTATTCTTAATAAAGAATAAAGGCTGGACAACAGTGATCCCAGCACTTTGGGAAGCCAAGGTAGGAGTGTTGCTTGAGGCCAGAAGTTCAAGTCCAATCTGGGCAACATAGTAAGACCCTGACTCAAAAAATAAAATAAAGAATAAAAATTGAGTGCGTCCATTAGGGTTGTCTTCCCTCTCTCTCTACACTACAACCTATATAAGCTACATGCACAGAAATGAGCCACAATTCACTAACTTTTCTGCAAAGAAGCGCTAATTCCACCTATTTCAACCCTACTATTAAAACATACCAAGTACATCCAAAATAATATTTAGGATGTATACAACCAAGAACAAATAACCATTTGAGGAGAAAGAATAGTTATTAATAGTACAGTATAATTAACTAATGCATTTTAGAAAGGGCAGTCTGAACAAGGAAAAATTACATATTAGGTTGAATCATGTGAAATTGGTATGCTTTTTCTTTTCTTTTTGGTCAGAAACAGATACATAGAAACCACTGAAAATAAAAATTTCTGGTTTTGTTACTTATGTAGCATATCTAAAGTCAGGGCAAAAAAGGTAGTTAATAGAACCTTTTCTGTCTCTTTGATGAGTTGATGGGAATAATTTGTGACAATTATATAATATTTTTAGGCATTATGGCAAATTTCTCTAAATCATTTTTATCTAAATTACCTCAATTGGTCCGCAAAATGTTCAGTAAACTTGGAGACACAGGTATGGTCCTTGTTTTGAAAATGAGGGGAAAAAGTTCAATTATTCAACAAATATTTACCTAGTGGCCATTGTATAGCAGACACTAGGCACATGGCAGAGTCTCCATGAGACTGTATTCTACCAAGGGGTATAATAAACAAAGAAATAGATAAATGGGCAAGTTACAGATTTTTGTTAAGATTCAGAGAACTGGCCAGGTGCACTGGCTCACGCCTGTAATCCCAGCAGTTTGGGAGCCCCAGGTGGGAGGATCACGAGATCAGCAGTTCGAGACCAGCCTGACCAACATGGTGAAACCCCATTTCTACTAAATACACAAAAATTAGCCGGGCGTGGTGACAGGCACCTGTAATCCCAGCTACTCAGGAGGCTGAGGCAGGAGAATCGCTGGAACCTGGGAGGCGGAGCTTGCAGTGAGCCGAGATCGGGCCACTGTACTCCAGCCTGGTGATCTGTCACCGTTGCAAAAAAAAAAAAAAAAAAAAGAGAGAGAGATTCAGAGAACCTAATTCACTATAAAAAATATTAATATGTCAGAGATACAAAGTTTCTGATATTCTGAATTCCTAGAATTCTTACTGCATTTATATGCGACGAATAGTTTGTTATTTAATTTCAAAGTGCATTGTATTAGGTTCACCAAATGTTTTTCTTGCAGATTAAACTTATCTCTATAATTATGCCTATGTATTTTATGTCATTATTTCTCTCCTAACACCTGGGACAATGCTTGACATAAAATCGGGACTCTAATGATGAGTCAATTTTTCCAAAATTATTAAGCAGAGGTTTGCAAATCATGTGCATCAAGTTGATTAAGTATCTCATCTAGTTTACACTATTAATCCATTCAGTTAATCATTTTACTTTAACATCCAGCCCACTCCTTATATCAATTACTATAATTTTCAATTAGCAGAGACCAAATTAAAGGAGGCTTGTTACATGCATTCACCTGTCCTCAAATTATGACTTGTTAGATTGTGAAGCTATCGAAAAATCCTCTAAATCCAGTTGTCTACCTGGCCAAATACATCCCTTTTAAATAATTCCTTTTTTGAAGTGTTTACATATTTTTCTTGGTGTGAACTTCACTGTCTTTAATTAATTTCGTGTTTTAACGTTACAACGTATTTCTCTTACTGAATAGAATTCTGCCTTTTTATATAAATTTTGTTTCTTTTTCTTTTAAAATCTTAAGAGGTTATCTTAAATTATCTGTGTCTGATTTATCTGTGCTAACCATTCCCAAGTCTTATATTACGTCATACTATTTTTTAGTAAATTTTATAAATCAATATGATTTGTTAGGCTTTCAATAAGTTTAACATAAATATTTAAGTCTTTTAGTAAATAATATGTCAAATTTTTAGTTTGGAAATATGGGAATTTTAATTATAAGGCATAGTTCTAACCAATAACTCAGCCTGGTTTGCATCAACACCAATTTGGAGATGTTTATTCAGCTATTTAAAATTTATTATACCTCATTCTCTTCAAAGCACTCTGGTTTGTCCATCTACTAGTTAAAAGTGTCCCTCAATTCTGTCATCCAGAAACCAACAACTCTCCATGGTGTTCTTTGACCAGTGTAGCTATATAGTGGAAACTCATATTTTGCACAGCATATTTCTATGCTTAGCCAAAAACTGTACTATATTTTAACCATTTAACTCTATCATCCCATAAGAGAACTTTTCAGTTAATCTCTCCATTTTTAATGCATTGGCCTCTATCTAGCCACTTATGTCCCCCACCCTGTGCTTTAATAAGAAGCTGTCTTATCTAAATATAAAACTGTAAGTTTATCATAATTACATTTCACCTTATTTGAGATGTTGCATTCTATAAAACTTATGACCCTATTTAGTCTTCAAAGGCTTGTACCATCTTCAAAACCAGTAACATATCTTCCATCTACTCATTTAATCATTTGTTAAATTTGATAAGGATAATTCCCAGTTGGTTAAAACAGTATTTCTCTAATTTATAATGATTTTCACCAATACACATTGATATATATTTAGTCAGTTAATTAAAATTTATTAAACATCTCTCACAGTACCATTTAATACATAAGGACACCAGGAAACAACTTAAAAATGGCTTAACTCAGTGTTTGTAGCATTTACCTAAAACTTATTTTTAGTAAATTTGAAATCTTACTAAATTTATTAAATCTTAAATTTAGTAAATCTTGAAATCTGTTTTTTTTAAATGTACATAAACATTTGTTAAAAACATTCCCAAAATTCTGGCTGGTATTGATAAACCATTTTTCTTAACATTAATATTTTCTTAATATTTGAATCTAGAATTCTAGTTCATTTTTTGGGTATACACTGATATTTTATGATGGACATTAACAGAAAACATCGGTAAAGTAAAAATAAAATGAGCTATTGATTCTTTTAAAGCACTTTGCCCAAAATTTCTTCAAATTTATATATTTTTATTATACCTATTATGAAAATAGGAAGACAATGATGTCATTTTATGCCTCATAATACATTTAAGAAATTATTCAGCTTGGCTTATATTGTACATTCATATTCTTATTAAAAACCAGATGGCTTTTTCAGAAGCAAAAGTTGAATACATCCTAGAAGATATATAAGCTTAATCAGTGACCTTAAAGTAGATATACTAACAAACATATTCTACAATCTATTCCCCAGAACAATTATCACACTTCTAACAATCATATCACTCATTTTTTCACGAATAATACACATCCTTACTTTGAGTATAATGTCATATATTAAAGGGATGCTTCTGCATATGTGCTTTACTATTTTTATAAACTGTCTTCATGAGAAAAGAAGCATTTTGACTCCTCTGACACATCTCAGGTTTAGTTTTCACCTTTTAAGAGAAAACAGAGTAAGCAGATAATGGCTGTGGCAGGGCTGTAATTCAAATTGTCAAAGTAATCACCATGGTGTCCACATCTGGCTTCATTAGAACCTAATGACTCACATTTCAAATCTACCTCCTGTCTACTAAATCCCAACAAAATCAGCGGATTCTGACTGATTTACTGATCTCCATATTTCCTTGGAATACGCAGACACCAATGCCTATTTTTCTTAGGAAAAGACAGCATCAAAAGAAATCTAGGACATTAAATAGCTATTGAATCAAGAGCAGCTGCACACTGAAGAAAGTATTTGGTAACTAAGAAAAAAATATATAGCTTCGTGTCAGCCATATAATCCTAGAAAGCTAAACCTGGGCTACCAATCACTAGTTAATTTAAAAACCAAATACAATTTTTATAAAAATAAAATTTCAGAAATGATAAATACTTCACTGAGAAATGTATCTTGAATTCCCATAATAAAATCTGGCTGCAGAGTGCTTTACTAATTAATGAAGTAATTTGTTACAATGAGAATATATCTTGAAATGTACACACCTAGGACCATAAAATAGTGCTTGTTTAAAAATATTTATATATATGAATATATGATTACCATTTTTACCTCTTTCAATCTATTCCTTTCATTTATTTCCTCAAGTATTAATTAGGTTCAGAAACAAGACACATCTTATCTCTACATGGAAATTCAAATAAAGCCTTGAAAGTCTAAATAATAAAAATTAATATAAGTAATATTTTATCTCTATACTGCAATGATAAATGGATTTTGCACAGGTCAACAGGTTTTAAAATATTAGTACTATTCTAATAAACTACTGCTTACACTATTTCTGTTTCTTTGTCCCTATATTCAAGGTGAAGAGTAGCTGCACTGACGCTATGTAAGCTATTTGCATCTATTTTATTTACACCTATTTGTTTCTGTTTCTAGACACGTAAGCACCAACACCCAATAAAATGTATGAAATTGTGTTTTAAATAACAAATAATTTACATGGACCCTAGAGATACAACAAGAAAACATTACCTTTGGAAGTCCTTCTCAGAAGATTACACACATTAAGAGACAGACCCACCTTGCTCTGGCTTGACTTAATGACTCAAATGCAAAAAGTTATGGTTTGTAGTTTTTATAATGCTTAATGAGCCCTACCCAAAATGACAGAGATCTCCAATATGGAAAGACTTCCCAATAGACACAATTTATAAAATGTCTCCTGAGAAGAAAATAAAAATCCATCTTACCTCAGCATAGAAATGATTAAATATTACTTTATACTACATGTTGAGAACTATACATATTTAGAATAAAGATTATTTCCAATGCATCATTTTATAAACATTTAAAGAAATTGTGTACATCAAATTAGGACAACATAAGATGGAATATAGTAGTGATGTTTCCAAGTTGTCATGGTTACTTACTTGTCAAACAATATTTCTAACTCACACACCATGAGTGTCAGGAATAGAACAGCATAGCAAAACTCTGAAAGTCACCATTCACCTGTGAAGGCCAAAATAAAAATGTCAAAGATGATGGCATATCTACAGAGTTTGGCGGAAATTTGATGCACCACTCTTTTGCCAGAATGCAGAAGCTTCCAGAATTGATGAAAAATGAAACTTTGAGTTAAACAGTATCTCAACAGGAAATGAAATACATCTTTCTATCTTTTGGAAGGTTACCAAGCATGTCTTCTTGCAACTGATCTGCTTCCAATTCTTAACTGGAAAAAGAAAAGACTAACACTCCACAGTGAGAGAATAAATTGAGTAGCCACGCTTTTATTTAATCATTCTTGTTTGGTTTTAGTTAGTAATTAATTTTGTTTGTCCTATTTTATAAAAATATCATGACAACTTTTCATAATGCATGCTGTCATAAATATATATGCCCAATGTGGTAGAATAAATAGAAAGAAAAAAATTTAAAAAGGTGTACAAATATTGGTAAATATCTTTTTAATTATACATTCTCACTGAATGAAAAACAGAAAATCTCATCCTAATTATTCAGCATATCCTTAGAATTTTGATATTAACATAACATTCAAAGACATATTTGCATGAACTTCATATTGAAATGTAATTATATAATAAATGCAGATAATGTGTAGAAAAATATGTATCTGTGTACTGCCCTCTTACATATCTAAATATCCAGAACAACACTGTCTTAATTGTGCTCTCACAACTATATGGTCTTAGAGAGTCAAGTTAAATAAATTTGAGAAAACTGCATTCTTAAAGATTCACTATTCATTTTTCCATAAGAGCTATGAGATGTTTGTACCAAATATAGCAATAATTTGTTTAAAGCATAATATCTTTGTTCATAATAAACTTTTATTATGTAGGCCTAAAAAGTTTATTGTTTCCTAGAAGACTATGTTAAGATGTCTCTGCAACAAAGGTCTGTAACGGATTAGTGTTTCTGACTTTTCTTCTACCATAATATACATTAATTTAATTTTCATGATCCTTAGAAAAATCTATTTTATGCAACTGTTATTTTAAATTATGTGTGGGATATATTTAATAAATGATAAGATTGTGTTCATTTAAAAATTTATATAAAAACAGGTTTTGGAAAATTACCAGTCACAAATCAATGTAGGAAAATGGCACCAGGCAAGAAAGGCAGCACATATTTCTTTAGTCATAGGTTTTCCAAGTGACGTTGCTTAACAGAAGAATCTATGCAGCTCTCTGGTCATTAGAATGATAAAAGCAAAACTATTTGTCAGAGAAATCCCTGAAAGATCTAATTTTCAAAAATGTTAGAAGAGAAAAAGAATCAAGTTTGTAGCATAATAAAAAAAAATTAGCTTAGAACACACAAAATTCACATTCTTAATAGTCAGTTTATAAAATACAAATACATATGTATATAGATGATCTATATTACATCCTTTTTTAAAAGGTGTGAGAGATTACTCAGAAATAAACACTTCTAAAGGGTAAAATTTACTTAGAGAAACTATATAACCTGCAACCATATATATCTCTATATATAAAATATAGTTATACACAAACATCATTTTATATATATAAATATGTATGCGTATATATATATAGAGAGTGTGTAATGTCAATTAACTAATGTAATAAACAAAGTAAAATAAGATATCACCGTCATAAATATTTTAATTCACATTTTTGTATGTACATCTCTCAACTTTACTCCTAATTCTTTCTCACAATGACAACTGTAGCTTTTTCTAATCATCCTGTATTTATGCTCCTGGTTACCACTGAAAACTCTTATGCTCTGTTAGAGGAATTTTCTCTATCGCTGGAGTTTCGTGGCCCACAAAGAAATACTATTTGGCAAAAGGTCGTTTGGAAGCAGGTAAGAGACAGTGAAAAAAAAATGCATTTAAAAAAGGCTTATCAAGAGCGTTCTTTTAGTCATAGCCCATACATTCTACAAATAACATCTATCAGGAAAATAATTCAAGATCTAAATGGAGAAACATAAAATAACAAAGGCACTTAAAATAATTATAAAATGTTCTTTCAAATGCTATTACAAAAATCTTATCAAAAAGCAGGCAAATCCAGAAGAAAACAGATGTTCCACAAATACAATTCATTTCTTTGTATACTTCTGAAAAACACATTAATCCTTTCAGTACACTGGAGAGCTACTGTGGGAAAGATTGTTATGCAGGCACTTCAGAAGGCCTCACGATGTAGAAGAGTTTGCTCCTTTGCTGGGAGCCAGCCCAATATCCCCCCAGATCATTTTTATTTGGCCACCAACACTGCAAAAACCCTTGCAAGCAAAAGGTGGATTCGGAGAGAGGCATCATTTGGCAATGAGCATGACATATCTTTGCTACATCTAATTTATGTATCTTACCCCAGTAAAAATATTTTTTTTCAGCTAGTAAAAGCTCTTTCATAACTCTCATACTGCTTTTTCTACCCTCTTTCATGAAGACAGTTCAGAGATTCAAAAACTCTGGATATCTTCCCGTTTTAAATATATATAATGTTGGCATGCATTTAGATAAATAACAATTTACAAATATACCTGTAAATTCAATATCAAGCCTTTATTAGGAAAGAAATCTATTTGAACATGTATATATGCTGTTATGGTAATTCAACTTGGAAGATTAAGCACTCTAGAAATAAAACCTAGTCATATTGATATAGGAGTTAAGAAATCACTTAGGGAGAAAGTAAGGGACTAGGAGTCCTCGGTAAGACTTTTCTCTTTAATGAAAAGCAGCCCCAAATCGTTTCCTAACAATGAGCAGCTTGTAAAATCAAGCTGCAGACATAGACAAGCAAGCTCTCAGCTTGCACGGGTGAATGCCAGAAGGAACCAGGGCCTAGACATGTTCAAGATGGCGGCCCCATCTTCCCTCCTCTTTGTCAGCCACGTGTAGAGTAAAAAGCAGACAAGATGGCACCGATCAACTGGAAAGCCCATTTGTGTTAAGATTAGGGCACGGCGACCAGCCTTCCCCATGCTATGTAAACATCATCACTGATCAAACCAATCTGTGTTCCCTTCGTAGTAAATCAAACACCACCTTCTCCAGCCTGCCTATAAAATCTGCTGTGGTCCCTGCCTCCCTGCTTTTTTGGAGGTGTCTCTCTGGAAAGGAATTGCTCTCCTCTCTCCGTTCTTCTGTCTATTAAACTTTCCTCTCCTTAACCCACCCACATGTGTCTGCGTCCTGAATTCTTTCTCAGTGACAGACAATGAAACCCAGGGTATATACTCCAGGCAAAGTAGCCGTTTCAATATTTTTTGTAAATGTTAGCCATTTTAACATGTGTTCCAGCAGACTGTTAAAAAAGTTTGTTGGGACTTTTAAAAATTGCAAGTAGATTTTGTTTTAGAGTGACAACTGAAACACGAATATGTTAATATATAAGTCATGTAGGTTTGCAGAGTAAGACAACAGTAGTACCACCTATATAAGAATTGAAATCCTTTTGCGTAGCAGATAAATTTTTTAAATCAGTTTTAAAAATGCATTCTAGGAGACATATGTAAGTAACAAATAATCTGTGAGATTTCTACTAAAATTCTGATTTCCTATCTATTACCTTAAGATTATATAATGTAAGTGTAACTCAAACATAGCAGCAGTCATGCTGTGAAGATTATATACATATAGCACAGAAAACCCAAATCACATTTCTTACTCAGGAAAGCCCGAAGTTTCAGCACCTCAAATACAAAGAAATATTTACCACATATAGACATAGATAGCATGGAAGAAAGAAGGGAAATCGTTGAAAAGTAAGATCAGATAGCAGAAATGTAGATATGATAATGTGGTAGCTGTTTTTTCAGGAATGCTCCAAATTTAGCAGAACACTTACCACATGAGTAAACCATACCTGGTGCAAGGCAGTACTCAATTGTGAATGATCCTATTTGTAAGCTCCATATAAGTTAACAAACTTGCCTTTAAAGGCAAAAAAGCAACTTCACTTCATATTTTGTAGTTTTATAACTAAGATTCCATTATGTGTGATGGCACCAGATCTTGTTTTCACTTTGTCAATCTAGACACGAGTAAAGTTCCTCTTTTTGTACAGAAAACTGTTATTGTGTAACTAGTCCCACATATGCATCTAAGTGGAATTAATCTACACTTACGAGTATGTAAATAGAGCCAAGGATTCAGCTGGGTACTTTGTAAAAATAGACGCATAGTTATTTTTTAAAAAAAACAATGTTTATTCTGTTATTTATGAATTTTTTTTGTATTTACTGCTAGGTTGATATTGTTACTCAGCGTCAGAGAAAAACAGTCATACTCAAAGTCATCCTTAAAGCATAATATGAATATGACTTTGTATAAAGTAATATAATTTTGGAAATAGAAACAGTCACAGCTTTTCAAACAGACAGCTTGACATATACATCAGACTCATTAGATAAAATATGTCCTGGTATACTCTGCAGGTACAGCTATTAGCTAATCAAAATATACATTGCCAGGTAAATTCCCCAGGGCCTGAATTGTCAATCATAATTTGTCAGCTTTATAGGGAAAAGGAGGCTCACCACAATCTGATTCTTATAATTAATTTTATACAGTGTTCTATGGACAATAATAATGTAATATTTTAAATGTTGAAAATTCCAGTAACAAGTTAGCCTATTTAAGCAAGAGATTTTTTTTGCAACTGACCTATGATTACTCTTTTTATTTATTCATATCGTAACTTTAACCAAGTGGAAGGGAAATTTATTGTGGGATCCTGAATGCCAAATTCATTCCTAAATCAAATCTCTTACAGTTTAATCAATAAAATTACTGGGCAAGAGAGACTGTTTAAATTATTCCTAGTAATATAACACTGCAATTGGATTCTTTATTTGAATTTTCAGTTCTTCTATTAGTTTCAACATTTCATGGTGGTCTATTGATCCACAGCAAAGAACCTCTTATTAGAAACTGACCAACCAAACACAGACTCTGCCAACTCTGATCTATGTTAATAGATCACTTACTTTACATCCTATTTCTACACAAGTTTTCAGGCCACTCATAATGGGGCAAGGAAAGACTATGTCTTTCAAAGCTAGTATTTTTCTCCATTGTGTATGCTTTCTGTCTTCATTTGGAAAAAAAACTAAATGATTTCGTGTCTTCTATTTTGTACCATATCACATGTGCCTTTCTCACATCATTAATTAGGAGGTTAGTATAAGATATGGAATGATAATGCATAATATTTGACTTTTAACCTTTCAGACTGTTTTCAGTTATATTACATCATGTTACCCTTAGTGGTGTTCTGCAAAATATTAGGCTAGTTGCTATTACACCTGTTATTATTATTTTATTTAAATATGAAAGACATATCTATTTTTAAAATGCCCTCTTGGCAAGTATAGAGATAGTAGCAAAGCCAAGACTTCTGTTAAAAATGATTGCCTACTTTCATACTTCAGATCCAAGAAGATACTGAGCAATCTTTTAAGATGGAAAATGAGGTGAATATCCTCGTATTTCTTTCTTCTCCATTTTCTTTAGTCATCCCTATAACGGAGAATTAAGGCAATGAGACCGGCTGAATTTGAAGTAAATATAGCAGCAGAGTATCTATATTACCATGGTTACACTTGTTGACCTCATCCTGCTAGTTCTCAGAACTAGGTCCATGATTTCTAAGTGGTATGAATTTAAGAACATTTTCTTCTTCATGAAGAAGCACATGGATTAAACACAACTTTCTGGGGTAATTTTCTCGGGGTCTCTCATAATATTGTTTTTAAATAAAATTTATCATTTCGGTTTTAAACAAATTTTACACAGCTGTTATATAAACTCAAAGCCCTCTAATATGAAGGATCTTCCTACTCACTAGAAAAGGGCAATACTCATTTGAAGTCCAAGGATATTTGAGTGTAAACAAACAAATGATAATGCAGTAGCCAATCAATGAGAGTAATTCATTATAGTAGAAACAACTTAGTATTTTACATTCTCACTGAAACTTTCTGTAAGATTATCTCCTCTGACTCAACAACCAATAATTTTGTATCTTACTATGTTTGGGGAAGTCTTCATTATTGTTCTGAAGAGGTCATGCAATGAAAAAGACTTCAGTTGAAGTTATCTTCAGAGAATCAGCCTTCCTCATTTTAACTAAGAACAGTAGTGCAGACCAGCATACACTATGTGCTTGGTGCCAAGAGGCAGCTAAATACAGTTTTTGAAAATATGTTGAAAACTGAATGGATACATAAATATCATCAATCGGTCTGAAGGCAGCATATGTTTTGGTTAACAGCATAGACCCTGAAGGAAGACTGGGGGGTTTCAAAACCTCTCCCAAGGTGCCAGCTCTGTGACCTTGGATAAGACTTTACCCTTTTATCATGTCAGTGGAGATAATAGCAATACTCAC
Organism: Homo sapiens; assembly: GCF_000001405.40. NCBI lineage: Eukaryota > Metazoa > Chordata > Mammalia > Primates > Hominidae > Homo > Homo sapiens. Next base: position 14,919,059 of record NC_000008.11, read on the forward strand.
CTTTTAAGATGCGTTGATTCAATTAGTTAATAAAATTATTGATAACACTATATATCATATGTTAGTCATATTTATGCTTGTTAAATAAATACAATTAAGGCCAGGCGAGGTGGCTCAAGCCTGTAACCCCCGCACTTTGGGAGGCCGAGGCAGGTGGATTGCCTGAGCTCAGGAGTTTGAGATCAGCCTGGGTAACATGGTGAAATCCCCTCTCTACTAAAATACAAAAGAAATTAGCTGGGTGTCGTGGCATGTGCCTATAATCCCAGCTACTCAGGGGGCTGAAGCAGGAGAATTGCTAGAACCCGGGAGGCGGAGGTTACAGTGAGCCGAGATCGCACCACTGCACTCTAGCCTGAATGAAAAAGCAAGACTCCACCTCTTAAAATAAATACAATTAAAATATTTCAGATGCCAGTGTCAATTTGATACATATTGTTCTTTGCTCTCGTCTTGAAGAGCACATAAGTAGAGTCACATAAATGATAAAAATTAAAATACAACTCCTATTTGAACAATTAAGATACTAATATTACTCCATAGTAATTTTGACAGTAGTACTATCTATTAAAAATCAAGCTGGGTGCGATGGCTCACGCCTGTAACCTCAGCACTTTGGGAGGACGAGGCAGGCAGATCACTTGAGTTCAGGAGTTTGAGACCAAACTGGCCAACATGGTGAAACCCCATCTCTGCTAAAAATACAAAAATTAGCCAGGCATGGTGGTGCACGCTTGTAATCCCAGCTACTCGGGAAACTGGGGCAGTAGAATCACTTGAGCCCAGGAGGCAGAGGTTGCAGTGAGCCAAGATCACGCCACTGCACTCCAGCCTGGGTAACAGAGTGAGACTCTGTTTTTTTTGTTTTGTTTTGTTTTGTTTTAAAGAAAACTATTAGCAATAATTACTGCGATGTTATTTTTACATCGTTGCATGCAGGCTCACCATACTCCTTTTAGTAGATTTTATATTTCTACTTCTAAAAATAAGGAAACTAATGCCTGTAAATGGTAAATAATCAGACTAACTGCCATTTATCTGGGCTGCTTTGGGTAAATTTTGTATCATTTACAAGTTGAACAAATGAAACAAAAACTTGGAGTGCATTTTAGCTTCTGACACTGTGGAGGGCTGGGATTGCTGCCTAGTGGAACAGGATGCCAGACACTCTGGAGAAGAGCCTTAGAAGATCATCATAACCCAAACTGAAGTAGTGCTATAATAAGATTTCAAAGTGGCAGCTAATGATTCATGGATCACATGCCAGCAAATCTGTCACTTCAGATACCACTGTCTGCCTTACAAAGAAAGCTAGACAACCTGTTCAAATGCACTGTTTTTATCAAAAAGTTCTGAGCCACTTACAAAGACTGCATTTAAAGGGACGAAATGTTTAATGGAGTTGGGATAATAAAAACATAGGAAGTCACACATCCAATAAAAATAATAATAATTTAGAGAGAAGCAATACAAAGACAGCTCCATAGACTGGAGGGTAAGTCAAAGATGAATTTGAGGAAAAAAAGATAAGATGGTAACAGATTAAGAAGATATCATAGAGGAGGCTATTAACATGCCTAAGCCATATAAACTAAATAAGGAAGAACAAATGGAGATACGAGAGATTTAAAAATATTATAGACTTTCCCTAAAACTGTAACAGGAATTACTTTTAATATAGTTAACTATCATTAGGATACTTAATTTATACCTAATTGTATTTGTTTAACTCATTCTAAAATAGATAGTTGAGAGTTTATTCTGGGAGGTTTCATTAAGAATTATTTGTAATAGCATTGCTATAGTGGCACTGTGCTGGGCACCGCATGCCTGAACCAGAATTGAAACAATCATTTTCCCAGCCATCAGCATAGTGGCTTCTACGCTCAGAACATTGAGACATTGACCTTGACTGCAGGAAGCTATCTCACCCAAGATCACAGTAGTGTAGCCCATATCCAATAGTGTTGGATTTAGGGTAAAAAGGTCCAACCCTTTTATCTTCATGAGGGACCATCCTAAAGAACTATCCCAGCTTCAGAGCTTGCAGTGGAGTGGTTGAGGACTGTTGCGATTGGATTAGGCTTCAAGCTCTGAATCTTCTCAACTCAGCTTCCCGCATTCCCTTAAGAAAGCTTCCCAAGAGCAGCCCCAAACAATGCTCCTACTTTCAAATCTCCACATCAATGCCTCTCCTTCAGACCTAAAATGATCTATGAGGTTGTCAAAGTTCTCCTGATTAGTATAGTGGTTAGATTTTGAACCCTGAAGTCAGACTAATTTGAGTTCAAATATCAGTTCCTCACAATCTGTGTGATTTCAGGCAACTTCTTCATTAGAAAATGGGGAGAGCAATGACCCCTATCTATCAAGTTGTAAAGATTAAAGGGCATAATACATTTTTATAACATAAATGCTTAGTTAATAAATATTCAATAAATGTCATCTAATTTTATTATCTATGCTTATTTAAATCCCCATTTAAAAAAAAAAAAGAAATAAGCTACTCAGTGGGCATTTGCTCTCCTAGAAAAACAACTCCAATCAGCCATCGGAATGCTCAAAGTATAAATAGTAGTAGCCAGAATTTGCTTGTAATGGAATTGCACAAGTCCCTGACATCATTTTACAGATGTAAAGTTAGTAACAGTCAAAAAATTGAACATCTGCTGTGATGACAACTTTGTGTTTTTTCCATAGATTTTGTTACAATTTAGTAAAAGTTCACTCCTTATATAACCCGACTTTTTTCAATTAATGGCGACTTTAGAAAAGTAAGGGATGGTGTGAACAACTGAAAGACAAGATAAGAAAATAAAAGTGAAATGGTGTTAAGCAATTCGTATGATTTTTACATACCAAGCAACAGTAATCTATGAAAACGTGCTTTATATAATGCTACAGAATAAAGCAATATTTCTGGTGGTTTAAGAATATTCAAATCACTTTTTATTTATGTGAATACCCTTGATTTTATTTTCCTTACCATCAAATGTTGATGGAACTTGAAGCCAAGCCAAGTGGTGCTTAATCCCTGCTTTAGCTGCTTGATTTCAAATATCCCTTAGTCAGCTTCAGACCTTGGGGAAGGGAACCAGCTGTGTAAAAGATGATGCAGTAGCAGCTGGAGAAATACCACAAGCAGAAAATGACTGCGTACGACTGTCCTTCCTTGTGAAATAGGTGTAGGCACTTATTCTTGGGCTAACCATGTCTTATAAAATATATGTGATACTGAAGGATTAAAGACAGTCTTTCAGTAATACTGCTTTCAAACTAAAAACATCATGCACTCAGATGTGCTTACAGAAAAAAATTATTTATATAAATAAATATTGAGAAAACAGTGATTCGAGTGAATATGGGCTACCTAATTTTTATGTTTTTGTATTTTTTATTTATTGTTATTTTTTGAGATGGAGTTTCGCTCTTGTTGCCCAGGCTGGAGTGCAATGGCGCGATTTCGGCTCACCACAACCTCTGCCTCCCGGGTTCAAGCTATTCTCCTGCCTCAGCCTCCCAGGCTACCTAATCCTAAACTATATTCCTAGATTCTCAATAGAACTTCACCTTGAGAATCATGAATACAAAAACACTTACAAATGAAATAGTTTGGGGTATTCCACTAGACCAAGGGATATAAAGCAATCTAAGATATGATTCTAATCTTCTAAAGCATTTTTGCATACATTCAAGATAAAATAACAATTCAGTGCAATATATACATATTAGAGATGGAGACCAAAACAAATGTTACCATAAAAGGAAGTAAATACTCAGTTACAAAAATCCTGGGAAATCAAGGAACATTTCTTAGGAGAATTATATTCCACTGATTTATGTATTTTACATTCAACCACAGAGGAAGACATTTTCTCATAAAGTTTTCTCATCAGTTCTTAGCATTGACTGCAGTACTTTTATAATTGAATGATGAGCTTCTACACATTAGGTTTTGCCTTTGTTTTGCACACATATTTGAATTTTTTTAAAGGGCAATTACATGTGTTTTCCTAAACTGAAATTTTACAGCTAGTGTCTGCAAAGTCATCTCCTGACAGGAAAAAGAAACTATGAGCTCAAGTAAAATTGTCCAAAAACTTCAGAGTACAGATTTGGTTCCTCTACTCTCACCAGCAAAACAGCACTGGCTTCTAGAAGACATTGGCCAGTGTAGGCAGCCTTTATTCTACTTTGACTCAATGGAATGGTTGCTATTATCTATTTCAATATTTCTAATAAGATGGAAATTTTTTCCATTGAGTGCATGTATTTCTACTAAAAATACACAAATTTACCTTCCTTAATATTCAGAGAATAAGAAATGAGCCTCTCTGGAAGTAGATAACAGAAGTCGGATGTGCAGAGACAATGTAGAGATGGTATCAGTTAACTGAACTGAAATGGTTCCCATAGTATTTGCTTTTTATAGAGATTTTTTTACACAGTTACGAAATGTACGAAACTCCCAGGACACATATATTCATGGTGTCCCTATCTGTTCAATTAATTAAAAATCACTTCAAGATTTCTTCTCTACTTCACTGCATAAGGTAAGGGAATTCAAATGCAAAGAACAATTTAAAGTACATTGGAAACATAAAGTTGCATGGAATTTATATCACAGGAGAACAATTGTTGCTGTTTAGTCAAAAGCTCATTCTTTGCCGTATGCTTAGAGGCTATTGTTTATTTTTTAAATTCATGTTTTTAAATTGTATTTTATAATCATCAGTACAGCTGGTGATTCTGCTACAAGCACAACTAAAATGAAATTACAGACGTTCAACTGTAGGGATCCATTGAGAACCCCAGAGTTGGTACGAAGATTATTTTGAATGCAAGGGATTTGAGATTCAACAAATACAGAAAGAAGCCTTCTCAGAGCTTCCCTTATGTGACAAAAGGCAGCAACTTCTGGAAAATAAGGCTGTCATAAATTACTCCCAGGACAGAGACAGAGGGTAAACCTTCCCTAAATCCCCTCTTAAGGGGAGTTTCATGGTTGTGATGAAGGCAGTAAAGCCACTCGCACCTGCATAAATGAACATCACAAGTTTTTGTCTCACGTTTGTTCTAAAAATCCTTTAGTCTTTAAGAAAACCTATTTGTTGTTCCCACAGTAGTGTTTTCATTTCTTTTCTTTCTCCTACTAATGTATATAAGCCTCTAACTTTAAGCATTTAGTAAGCTAGTTACATCTTCTGTTAGTTCCTGTATAGAAATGAAGTTTTTCACTCCTGTTAATCTATGGTTTGTCAATTACTTTGTAGACCTGCTGTAAATGAACCCAAGAAGGCAGAATAAAATGTTTTCCTACATGACACTAGAGATGAAAGCACCTAATAAGATTTCAAATGTCAACTATAAGGATATTACAGAAAATTAGCTTTGTTAAAAGCAAAATCCATTAATAGGTTTTATATTTTGTGGTATTCTTTAATAAAGGTGAATAACTTAAATTATCATGAATAAGTACAAAAAAAAAAGCACGCCTTCCTATTTACATCAGAAGCTTATCCACATATTTCTAGATTTTTTAACATGGAAAAACTAGTGTTCATGGTGGGCAATGTTTGTTAGTGACATTTATTTAGCATTTACTTTCTATAAAAATGAATTTCAGAAAGATAGTAATTAGATAAATTCCCCAAATATTTTTCAACATAGTAAACTGAGTTTGAGGCTAAAAAACACAAAATGTTAAAAGTTTGATTTGTTAAATAGTCATATTAACATTATCATTGTTTTACGTTTAAGTATGGTTCCTGTATGTCTTTATCTAGGAATTTAAGACTTTTTTTTTTTTTTTTTTTTGAGACAGATTCTCACTGTGTCACCCAGGCTGGAGTGCAATGTCGCCATCTCAGCTCACTGCAACCTCTGCCTTTTGGGTTCAAGCGATTCTTGTGCCTCAGCCTCCCGAGTAGCTGCAATTACAGGTGCGGGCCTCAATGCCCGGCTAATTTTTGTATTTTTAGTAGAGCCAGGGTTTCACCGTGTTGGCCAGGCTGCTCTCGAACTCCTGAGCTTAAGTGATCCACCTGCCTCACCCTCCCAAAGTGCTGGGATTATAGGCGTGAGGCACCAGGCCCAGCCAAGACATTTTCTTTACTGCAGCAGTTAAGTTTAAAAGTCAATTTTCTTTTGTAATGCATACGTATACCACAAACTGTCTTAATATGGTCTCTATCACTGTCGAAGACAAAATTTTCTTTTGAGTAGACTATTATTCTAATTCACATAGCATTTCTTATGGCTTAGTTTATTAATATGTTAATTTCTTAATATTTTATTGCATTGTACTCACAGCATGGGAATCCCGGAAAAAGGAAAGGACAATTGCATGCTAACAGTTTTGTCCTTTATATTTATGTACTAAGAATGAAAATGTCCAGGACTTGACCTAACAGAGTAATTTATAACAAGATGCTTCTTAAAGGCTAAGTTTTCATTCTCAAGGAGATGCATTGCCTATAAACAGATAGGCAGAAATTCTGGAGACCTACAGCTTGCCCGTGTGGGTTGAAAAGACATTAAGTGTAATGGCAAAAACCACAATTCCTTTTGCACCAATCTAACGAATCCTTCAAGAAGCATCCTATGCCAGATCCAGTGTGGCAAGGTTTGAGTCCCTCAGACACGACAATACTTTCAATTTCCAGGGTTTGATCTGGCTTCACTTTTTCATTGCTGTACCAGATGGACAGGAAAAGGACAGACAATCAATTCCATGTCCCTTATTTTCCATAAGCACCAGAGAAGGAAACTAAGGTCTGATAAGAAGGGATACCTTGGGAATTTAGAAAAAAAAAATGCATAAAAGGAAGCCTACCTACTTTGGACACATTTTATGGGCAGAATAGTGACAACAGGGCAGAGATGTTGTTTTTTACACTGTTGAATAGCAACAGTATGATTTGTAAACAGATAGCTGAAGTACACATTATCTCAGTGAGTCTTAAAGTTAACTATGTGAAGAATGTAAATGAATTCCCAAAAGGAAAAAGATAAATCAGGATTAATGTATAGGACAATCCCTAAGAAGAACACAGGTCATTAAACGCAAACTTTGATTTCAGTAAAAATATTTCATTTTTTCAGCAACATAGATATTAATGCAAACAGCTTTTTAAGTAATATATGCATGTTCTTATACTCATTTGTCGTTCAAATTTTGGACAATTTTATATAAAATAAGCATAAAAAATAATAAAAGATCATCGAAAAAATATTGTCATCATGTTTCATTTGCACAAATTGTTATATCTAATCTAGGTTATTAAACTAAACTATGTTGATAAGGTAAATACTTATAGAACCATCAATGTTAAAAATTCATATTCTTTGATTTTGCTAAATTTTTTTGGATCTAGATAAGTATCATCCCTATCAAACATGCACATTTATCACGTAAGCATCTCAGATGTACTGTTTCTCCTCTTTGTTCTAAACAAATGTTGTACTGAAATTGTATTTCACCATCCTGATTTCTTGGGGTTATATATTTCTTGGGGAAATATATTTCTTGGGCAAACTCAGTAGACAGTTTTTTGTTTGTTTGTTTTGTTTTTCCGTGTGTGTGGTTTTTTTTTGTTTTTTTGAGACAGTCTCGCTCTGTTGCCAGACTGGAGTGCAGTGGCATGATCTCAGCTCACTGCAACCTCCAACTCTCTGGTTCAAGCGATTCTCCTGCCTCAGCCTCCCAAGTAGCTGGGATTACAGGCATGCGCCACCACACCCAGCTAATTTTTTTACTTTTAGTAGAGACAGGGTTTCACCATGTTGTCCAGGAAGGTCGTGATCTCCTGACCTCGTGATCCACCAGCCTTAGCCTCCCAAAGTGTTGGGATTACAGGCGTGAGTCACCACACCTGGCCGACACTTTGATTTTAATGGAGAAATGACATCAAAAGTCTTTCCTTACATTTCCAGAATATCACATTCCTATGGACACAGTATATAGTCTTTCAGTATCAACTACATTTTTATAGAAAATTTAAATTTAAAATATACTATATCAAAGTATCAAAGTTCCTGATTCTTTTTTTTTTTTTTTTTTTTTTGTGAGGCAGAGTCTCGCTCTGTCACCCAGGCTGGAGTGCAATGGCGCGATCTCGGCTCACTGCAAGCTCCGCCTCCGAGGTTGACGCCATTCTCCTGCCTCACCCTCCGGAGCAGCTGGGACTACAGGCGTCCGCCACCACGCCCGCCTAATTTTTTTCTATATTTAGTAGAGATGGGGTTTCACAGTGTTAGCCAGGATGGTGTCGATTTCCTGTCCTTGTGATCCGCCCGCCTCGGCCTCCCAAAGTGCTGGGATTACAGGCGTGAGCCACCGCGCCCGGCCAAGTTCCTGATTCTTAAACTCCAAAAAATAAAACACTTCAAAAGTGGATTTTACTTATGAGATACAAAGTGTAAGGGAGAGAGAGAATAAACAAGGTAGAGAAATAAGAAGAAGAGCAAGAAGAAGGAAGAGGAAGAAAGAAGAGGGAGAGAGACGAAATGAGAGAATTTTTAAAAAGAGAAAGGAAAAACCAAGGAGGAAGGAGGCAGAGAGGTAGGAAGAAAAAGATCCAGAAATATATTTATTTGATGAGGTTGTTGAAATAACTTTACTATGCAGTTATTTCATCTTCTTAATGCAGTAAAACATTGAGAAAAAGAATACATTCATTGAAGACTTGAAAGCAAAATGCGTTGACTCGGCATGGTCTTGCCTTATTAAAGGGTTAACTTCTAGTCTGACCCTATGTTTCTTCTTTCAATAATTAATACATATAGTACCAAGATTTCCCTACCCATAACAGAAAAGAGGGAGAAAGACGCCATGGAATGCAACCAACTTCATTAGTACCATATTTGATGATTTTTCAACATCCCAAGAACCTGGATGTCACTAAGGTTCAGTCAAAGTCATCTCCTTTTTTCTGGCCTTAGCTCAACTCCAGATTCTTGAGTGTTTGTCCAGCATCTGCCAGAGGCCTCTGCCTTTATGAAATTTTAGGGTGCAGTCCTTCCTAACTGGCTTGTCACTCTGCCATCCATGCTGTGTGAAAATATTTATCAAAGCCATGTTGCAGATAAATTTATCTCTTGCTCAGATTATCTCTGAGTAATAAGGAAATTAATGTCAATGACATCATTCAAGAATGAAGACTGATTACATAAAATATTTCAATCAGAATGTTGGCATAGGACTTCTAGTTATGATCATACGCCATGGAATTTCTCATTCATACTCAACGTCAAATATGCTAGCCTTTTGTTTCCATAAATATGTCTGTGCTCAGGGAGAAAAGTGTGGTTACTCTTCTTACATTCTACAGAGTTCTACACTAACTGAATAATGATATGGAGGTTAAAACTACTATAAAACGCGATGACAATATAATAAAATAGGAAGTATCTCACCAGAATAGAGGAAATACATATTACCAGACATAAGAGATTTGCTGATTTTTACAATTTGCCTCTAAATTTAGCTTTAAACGTGGTGCTAATTAAGGTTTAAAAATGAAAACAAAGTAGTTTACACAATTTTAATCTCATTAATTTGTGGAGAATTATATTACTGGGGTCCTCAGTGGTGGAAAATTATTCCATTGTATCTTTGTTAAGAACATAATTGTTATTCAAATTGACATTTTAAAATACAGAATTGCTATAAATGTTAAAAGCATAACAGATTTGAAGGTATTTCTACAGGTAGGAATTGTGACAGCTTTGCGTATGTAATTTTTCTGGCAATCTAATTTAGTATGCAGACAAAATGTGTTTATTTTAATATACAGAAATGAATGGATAATGTGCCTATTATACCATCTCTCAAATATTAAATTTGTTCCATTATCAAATGCCTTTATTTGACAGGAGCTTGATGTTATGAAATTCATGACTGCATTTTTAAATTATTTATTTATTTATTTACTTACTTATTTATTTTTTCAGACAGAGTCTCACTCTGTTGCCCAGACTGGAGTGCAGTGGCATGATCTCGGCTCACTGCGACCTCCACCTCCCGGGTTCAAGTGATTCTCCTGCCTCAGCCTCCTGAGTAGCTGGGACTAGAAGCGTGCACCACCACGCCCAGCTAATTTTTGTAGTTTTTAGTAGAGATGGGGTTTCACCATATTGGCCAGGCTGGTCTCGAACTCCTGACCTCGTGATCCACCCGCCTCGGCCTCCCAAAGTACTGGGATTACAGGCGTGAACCACTGCGCCTGGCCAATGACTGCATTTTTAAATGTGCTCCTAGTGTAGACACTCTGTGCTGCTATATAAAGTGAGAGGCATATGCTTTAGATATGAGAGTAAGGCTGAATTTTCATACTATGACAGTTTAAGTGCCAAACTGATACTCTCACCCAGATATGTTGTTAGGAAAGTATCTTACCGAATGCCTGGGAAATAAATGTCCTATAGACATTAGGTGAACCTGAGGCTGACGCAGCCTAACACAATGACCATTGGCCTGTGGGCCTCAGGGGAGTCAAATAAATTCAAATATAATTTTGGTAACTTATTCTGAGCCTCCCAAAGAAGGAATATACACTCAGCAGATCCCCATTAGTCTCTATATCTGCACTGTGGAACCACCTTTTGTAAGGCCCTTTGTTATGTCAGAGATAAACTAGGTATAAAATCCACAGCTGACAGCAGTGGTATGAATGCAGGTTTTCATGGGTAATTAATGTCTTTATTGCCCAGAAACAGATAACACCTTAACATTAGAAGGATATGAAATGTGGTGGAAGTAGTTTTCCTCCTCATTATTTCAACAGAATGACAGGCACGAAATGTGACTTACACTTGGTAATTGTTATTTACCAAACAATTATGGCCAGGAATCATATTATTGAGTTTTTACATAACAGCATTTTCACTATTTAAAACTTGGATGTTCAGTACAATTTCTCATAATCAAGATAAATCCTGACATCCCTGAACTTTGAGAGAAATTTGTTTTGGAGTCTTAGCAAGCACTTCAAAAATTTGGAGTTGTTCTTTATTAAACTGGGAATGACTTACGAATCATATGATATTGTGAATTAAATGTAAGTTATTTGAAATTTACAAGAAAAAAACAAACAACCCCATCAAAAAGTGGGCGAAGGATGTGAACAGACACTTCTCAAAAGAAGACATTTATGCAGCCGACAAACATATGAAAAAAAGCTCATCAGGAATTGTCTAGAGAAATGCAAATCAAAACCACAATGAGATACTATCTCATGCCAGTTAGAATGGCGATCATTAAAAAGTCAGGAAACAACAGATGCTCGAGAGGATGTGGAGAAATGGGAAAGCTTTTACACTATTGATGGGAGTGTAAATTAGTTCAACCATTGTGGAAGACAGTGTGGAGATTCCTCAAGGATCTAGAACTAGAAATACCATTTGACTCAGCAATCCCATTACTGGGTATATACCCAAAGGATTATAAATCATTCTACTATAAAGACACATGCCCATGTATGTTTCTTGCAGCACTGTTCACAATAGCAAAGACTTGGAACCAACCCAAATGCCCACCAATGATAGACCGGATAAAGAAAATGTGGCACATATACACCATGGAATACTATGCAGCCATAAAAAAGGATGAGTTCACGTCCTTTGCAGGGACATGGATGACGCTGGAAACCATCATTCTCAGCAGACTAACACAGGAACAGAAAACTAAACACCCCATGTTCTCATTCATAATTGAACAATGAGAACACATGGACACAGGGAGGGGAACATCACACACCAGGGCTTGTCAGAGGGGTGAGGGGCTAGGGGATGGATAGCATTGGGAGAAATACCTAATGTAGGGGAGAGATAACATTAGGAGAAATACCTACTTTAGATGACAGTTGATGGGTGCAGCAAACCACCATGGCACGTGTATACCTATGTAACAAACCGGTACGTTCTGCACATGTACCCCAGAACTTAAAGTATAATTAAAAAATGTAATTTGTTTGAATACATTATTTTGCATATTTTTCTCAAATACTTTATGTTTTCTCAGATTCCAAATCTGGTATGAGGCTTTTAACGAGGTGTCTTAGATATTATATTAGCTGCATAATTTCCTTCATCATTTCAAATTAACTTTTACCAATTTCCTTGCTGGATTCTTGATTACATAATCTGCACTTACCATTTAATCAGAACTAAGGGGTAAAAAAAATCTCATTTTATTCACTTATAGTTTATTACCTTCCTGATAACATGAATTTGCAGTCATTTTATAACTTTTCTTAAGTTAAATTTCAAATAGTTTGATCTATTCTTGAGTTCCTACTTTGTTATTTGTGTTTTAACAATAAATAATAGATAAAATTCAATATTCCAGAAAGATATTTACATTGCACCTTGGATATATTTACTAGTGTTTCTAGAGACCCATCTGTACATTATTTCAATTCTCTCATTAGTGCCACTGATAAAATCAAGAGCAATAACAAAATGACATGCAGCATAACCTTGAATTTTTTAGCAACCTGGCTTTTGTTTGCAAAAAATCTGATTATGATAGTCTTTTCAAGTGAGCTCTGGAGCCATTTAGATAATTTTCAGATATTATACTGAAAAGATTGAATAAATTAATGTTACATATGTGAATTACGGAACATTATAAAATAAATATAGTACTTGACATTCTTTCTTCTAACATTAAAGCCTTTAGAAGTCATTAAAAAGAGCTTTGTCCAAGGGTTGAACATTTAATGGAAATTCGTCAGTCAGCCACTCCCAACATTCTTATTTCACTTTTATTAAACTTTTTGTTTCTTGTTATTTATTCATAACTGTTTTAACCTTGACACACTGTGAATCCACCTGAAACATTATCTTGACCAATAACCAATAAGATGTTTTCTTAGTGTGTCTCTTCATGGAGACAGCTCGCATAATGTTAAAAGTGAGTCCTGCATCATATTTCCATAATTAAATATACAATTTGTTAAATATAAAGTATGTCCATTTTTTCAGTATTTATAATTGAAATTACAACATCATTATTACCATAATGCTGGAAATAGAATGTGACATATAAATTTTACTTTTTGAACTGTAAAATATGAAGAAAATAACATAGTACATAGTTCTCTGGTGACAATTGAAAATCATTCCTGCCCCTAATAAAATTAAACATATGTTAACAAATTATAAAGGTTAAAATGCTTAGATTTTGAAAGTTTCAAAATATTATAACATAAAATCTTTTGTTATAAAACTTCTCGATTTCTTCATAAGTAGCTTCTGGCAAACTCTAGTAACAGTTTTCTCTTTTCATTTCAGGCCATTTTCCATTCTAATATGACTGGATAAATGCAAAATGTCTCTTTCATCATGATGTAAAGGATGCAATAAAACTAATTTTGACTTCAGGCTCTATAAAGTAAAGTTGGTGCATTCGTTCTGTGTAAAGAATTTGGTACTTCAAATTTTCCCTTAATTTTAAGAGAGAAAGAAGGGAAGGGGCAATGACAGAATTACTATTATACTCTAGCTACTGAAATTATAACATATTTTACTAAAAGAACCATTATCCTCAGAATAGCTCTCAGCCAAGCAAGGCAAAACAAAAATAAATGTGTAAAGTGCTAATAGTGTAGGATTGTGGATCCAACAGAGAGCCCACATGACCTTCAAGCACATGTGTAATTTTTTAAAAAATTAATAGTCTAAACAAACTTTCCACTCCAAAACAACTAATATTTCTTGGTAACATTTTAATAATCTTTTCTAAATGCATTACAGAGCTTGAACTAAAACAAGAAAAAATGTCAAAGTCCAAAAGTGTGATGTGAAAACTGTGCATCTAGTGGTAAGTAAGCACTAAATCTGGCATTCATTTCAAGAGGCCGTTATCTTAAGTTAATTAACACAGGAAGGGAAAACCAAATACCACATGTTCTTGCTTATAAGTAGGACCTAAATATTGAATACTCATAGGCACAGAGATGGAAACAAGAGACAATGGGGACTATGACAGCAGGGAGGGCAGGAGGGGGATGAGGGCTGAAAAACTGTTTTTCAACACAGTTTTTGACTCACCACCTAGGTAACATAGTGTTTGGCTCACTACGTCGGTAACAGCATCAATTGTACAGCAAACGTCAGAAACACACAATTCACCCATGTAACAAATCTGCATATGTACCTCCTAAACCTAAAATAAGAGCTGGAAAAAAAGAATATCTGCCAAAACCTAGTAACTTACAGCCTCATTTGAAGGTTCATGCAGACAGAGAAAGAGGACCCAGAAAACAGGGCTCATCTAAGGTGAGAGGTTTGACATGAGCTCTCTGCAAAAATGGAACCAGAGTATTTCAGCACCATTGAAGGAGTTTTATTCCATATACTTTTTTTTTCTTTTTTTTTTTTTTTTTGGAGACGGAGTCTCGCTCTGTCGTCCAGGCTGGAGTGCAGTCGCACCATCTCTGCTCACTGCAAGCTCCGCCTCCCGCGTTCACACCATTCTCCTGCCTCAGCCTCCAGAGTAGCTGGGACTACAGGCGCCTGCCACCACACTCGGCTAATTTTTCTTTCTTTCTTTCTTTTTTCTGTATTTTTTAGTAGAGATGGGGTTCTACCGTGTTAGCCAGGATGATCTCGATCTCCTGACCTCGTGATCTGCCCGCCTTGGCCTACCAAAGTGCTGGGATTACAGGCATGAGCCACCGCGGCCAGCCTGCAGGAATGATTTTTAAATAGTATACACTGATACAGCTATGCCAATAGCTATGGCTAATATCTAGTCTAATTGGCCAGTGCTCGTACCATACCAATTGTTAAATATTTTGATCACCATTTATTTTTCAATGGATGGGTGAACATTAAAAACACACAGGGACAAAATATACAGAAGAAAATGTTCTTAATCTTTACGGTGGGTGGAGAAGAAGAAAAATTCCAAAAATTCATAATTACCAACAGGCCCTCTTATCGATGTGTTTCTCAATTATCAGAATTTTCCCTAAAAAATAGCCAATAATTAATAAGAATTCATAGCCAATAATTTATACTAAATATTCCCAAGTCATTAGTCCTTACAAAAACATATCCTTTCTAGGGCAATGTATTTACAAATAAAACTTATGGACAGTGTTCTAAAGAATATGTATTCATAATCAGAAGTCACCAAATCCAGAATGGAATAGGGCACCACCGCATGAAAACTACCAGAAAGAATAGACAGCAGAATAAAATCTGCAGAAATGTTAAGTACTGGGACTACTGTATATAAAATATATGTGTCTGTAATTAATATATTTAAATTAAAAGTATTCATGAGGTTCCAGGATTGAAAGTATAAATAAGGAAAGGGAGATCATAAAATAATCAAGATTATTGAGCAAAGACCAAAGGGAACTTCTAGTAATGAAAAAGTAGATTAACAGAAAATTAAATGGACATTTTACAAAGGAGATTAGCCACAGATGAAGATATAATTAGCCATTCAGAAGGTAGAACTGAAGAAAATACGAAGACTACATTTCAGAGAGATAAAGAATAGAGAAATATGAAATAAGGCTTAAGACACTTGAGGATATATTGAGAAACTTCCACATTTCTAGAAGCAAAATTAAGACAGAATGAGGGAAAAACAAAATGTTAAGGGATAATAATAAAGGATAATTTTTTAAAGTGATGAAAGATATAAATTTTTAAATTCAAGAAGCCTAAATAAATACATACCTAGACACATCAAAGTGAAACTAAAAACAAAAAAGGCAGGAAAAATGACTAAATATATCTGAAGAAATAATATAGGCTACCTACAAAGAAACAACAGCTAGACAGACAGGTTTCTCCTAAACAAGAAAAGTAAAATCCTAAAATCATTGAATAATCTCCCAGTACTGAAAAAAAAATAATCCTTCAAAGCCCCTCAACTTAGAGTTATTCAGAGTTATTCATCCACAATAAACAGCTTTTAAAAAGGAAGACAAAATGCAAAAAAAAAAAAAAACTTTTAAAGGTGAAAACTGAGATGATTTCTAAAAATTACAATATAGCTAAAGAATATTATGATGAAAATAAAACACAAAAAGTGCAAGTATAAATTATATTTAAACAGGCTGATTTTGTTTTTTAAAAAGTAGATGTTAATGTCTTATTAAAAGATATTTTATTTTTTATAAAGTAGATGTTATCTTAAATCCATACTTTTGCATGTTTTTAAATTTCATATACATGGTATCACATGTATCCTTTTGCAACTTCCATTATTTGCTTAATACTACATTTGTGACATTCTTCCATGTTGACATACATAACTTTCTTTTATGGTAAGTCTTTCATAGTGTGATTTTACCTAAATTTATTTATCCATTCACCTGTTGAAGGACATCTGGGTCACTCTGTTATTTTTGTAATAATAAATAATCCTACTGTGAGAAAAAAAGGTAGATGTTAATGTCTTATTAAAAGATCCAGTTATGGTATTGGATAACAATCATTAAAATTGAATCAGAGATAAAGTACTCTTAAGATCATTGAATCACTTTGATCAAGAACAAGAGTATTGATAAAACTTAGATATTTATTAATTAAAGGTGCAGATAAAAAGTCAAAGGCAATTTATAGTAAATGGGGAAAATAAAATAAATACAACAAAATTATAATTACTCCAAATATCAACAAAATAAACAAGAATAAAGTAACTTTTAAAAAGTCAGCAATTCCAATAACTATAAATTAACTGAAATTTCCAATTATAAAACAAAGGCTATTAAGATAGACGAAAGATCAAAACAGCAAAATACATATAAAGGGACCCTGCTAAATCAGAAGAACTCAAAGTATGGAAGAAAAAATGATGAAAACCAGAAACAAAATAATAAACAAAGAGAGCTGATTTGCTCTATTTGTATCAGACACAGAAAATAATTTAAAACAAAAATGTACTAATGGAATAAGGAAGACAATTTCCATGCGATTAAATGATCGATTCACTAAGATAATGTAACAATTCAAAACTTGTATGTACCTAGACTTTAAATATTCAAAATTGCCATCATTATAAAGAAAAGTGGACAAATTCCCCCATCACAGATCAAGATTTTCTACATGTAATTCAGGAGTGGGTAGAAGAGGCGGAAAGGTATCCAATAAGCCTATACGATGTTTTAACAAGTATAAAGCTTGATTTAATAAACACACAGATGCTCCTTGACTTACAATGGGGTTACATTCTGATAAACCCATCATAATTTGAAAATACCCTAAGTCTTAAAATGCATTTAATATGTCTAACGTACCAAGCATCAAATCTTAGCCTAGCCTACCTTAAATGCTCAGAATACTTTGCTCACGGTTAGGCAAAATCATGTAATACAAAGCCTAGTTTATAATAAAGTAATGAATATCTCGTAATTTATTGAAAACTGTACTTAAAGTTAAAAACAGAATGGGTGTATACATACTCAGAGTATGGTTTCTATCAAATCATATTAACAGTGTCACTTTTGCACCACCATGAAGTCAAAAAATTTTAAGTTGGACTTTTGTAAGTTTCATAAGTCAGGGACCATTTATATATAAAACTTTGAACCCAGTCATTATAGAATCCCTATTATTTTTTGGTTCATAAGGATAAAAATAGACCACAAACAGAGGCTAAATAAATTTCCAAAGATTAGGTCATACATACCACATTACTTGGCTTTAAATTAGAGTGGTTAAATACAAACAATGTCAGTGTTTGAAAATGAGATTCGAAATTATGAAGAAAGTGTAACTAATGATTCAAAAAACAAATCAAGATAAAAATAAAATCTCAAAATATTCCATTTTAATGGGACTATATATCAAAATCTGTAGAATACACTAAAATGATATTTATTAAACTTTACTACACTAAAGGCTTAGATTGGAAAAATAAATCCTAAAAATTAAAAAACACAATATTTCAAATTAAAAAGTTTATAAAAGAACAATAACATTAACCAAAGAGTGTGTACAGGAGACTGTAATGATAAGAGCAGAGATTAATAAGATAGAAAATAAGATAAAAATGAAAAGTTTAAACTGGCCAAAAGTTGATTATCTAAATACACTAATAAACTTAAACACTCTTTGGCAACATTGTTCAACAGAAAAGAGAAACAGTAAAAATTAGCAATATTAAAATTAAAGCTAGATCAAAAATATAGACATTATAGGAATTAAAGAGATAGTTATATGTTATTTTAAAAATGTTGCATTTAATTTGACAACTTAAATAAAATATTTCATAAAAAAGATAACTCACCAACATCAAATAGTGAATAGATGGGAAAACTGAATTCTTATGAACATTAGCAATTTTGAAGTTTTAATTATTTTCCCAAAAAGCACAGATCCATGTTGTTTTTAAGGTCAGCTTTAGCAAACATTCAAGCCTCAAATGATTCCAATGCCTTCATAAGAAACAAAAATTGGAAAATCTTACAAAAACCCTACAACTCATTTTATCAAGTTATCTCTTTGTTATATCAGCCAAGGAAGAAAAATTTGAGAGGGAAGGAAAAACCAAACTAACTCATGAACATATATACGTACGCATATAGAGGAACCAATGCAAAATCTCATTTTTATTATGAAAATCTCTTTCATTACAATAGAAAATAACAATGAATTGTGTTGAGCTCTTAAATTACAATTTTGTTTTAGATATCCTTTTTCTGTAAGTTTTTTTGTCAAATACATATTTTTTTCTCAGTTTTGTTTTTAAATGTTATGTAATAAATTCATAAATGAATGCAGATTGTAATGAATGAAATATATGTTGAACAATCAGGAATGTTATAAAGGCATAACATCTGATATTTTTAAAAATTCATGATGAATGAATAAGTAATATAAGACATTGGATATAATATAATCTAGGGTAAGGTCAGGATTCATGAGCTAAGTACATACTTTTATTTGGAAAGTCAGCTTAAGAAATGTTTGATTGGAAATAACTTTATGAACATTCAAAATTCACTCTGTAATTCTTGCACTTTTAGAAAATCATATATACACTAACACATATATACATAATGATGCATATTATATTTGTAAAATGTTTTTTGGTGTTGTTCACTGTTTTATATTGATTTATACAAGTTCTGCATGTTGAAATACATTATGTTCATCTACTTTTATACTGTAGCTGTAACTGGAAATAGCGTTAGAATAAGCCAGAAATGAAAACAGTAGAGGAAGATATGGATTCAAAAATAAATATGCAGTTGGCCCTTGAACAACATACTTTCGAACTGTGCTGGTCTACTTATGTGTGGATTTTCTTCCACCTCTGCCGCTCCTGAGATGGCAAGACCAATCCCTCCTCTTCCTCCTCCTGCTCAGCTTACTTAATGTGAAAATGATGAAGATGAAGACATTTATGATGATTCACTTCCACTCAATGAATAGTAAATATATTTTGTCTTCCCTATAATTTTCTTAAAATTTTCTTTTTACTAGCTTACTTTATTATAAGAACACAGTATATAATATACATAACATACAAATATGTGTTAACTATTTATGTTATTGGTAAAGCTTCTAGTCAACAGTATGCTATTAGTAGCTAATTTTGGGGAAGTTAAAAGTTCTATGTCCATGGAATACTATTTAGCCATAAAAAAGAAGGAAATAATACCTTTTGCAGCAACTTGGATGGAGCTGGAGGCCATTATTCTAAGTGAAGTAATTCAGGAATGGAAAACCAAATACCGTGTGTTCCCACTTATAAGTAGGAGATAAGCTGTGGTACAATGATAATTTTTTTTTTTTACATCTTTACAAGTTCATTACAGATGCAACCTCCCATTTTTTTCCAAGTATTTTTGTATCCGCAGTTGGTTGAATCCCCAAATGCTGAACCTATGGATTCAAAGGGCTAAGGGTACTGCATTATTTTCTGCTAAGCCCAAGACTGCCTCAGTGTCTTTCAGTCTGCGCCCTGGCAAAGCAGGACCAAAACAAACAGCAGCTACTCCATGGAGTAGTCAGAGGCAGAGCCAGCACCTCACTTAGCAAACTCATTAAAGAGCTCTAGGACCTTTCCAGGTACTTCAATCTGTTCCAGGATTCCTGATGATTTCTATTTCAATCTTGGATGTGCTTAGCTGGTTAGAATCAGATTCCAATGAACACTAACACTCAAAGATAGCATTCAGGACTTGAGTTAGTCCTGACCCAGATCTAGGGTACCTTTGTCAGCAGCTGGTATTCAGCTAAAGACACTCTGTGTCTCCATTTATACTGTAAGGATCTGAAAATCAAAACCTAGCTCAAACTGTTAAGCATCTACCTTGCTCTCAACATCTTCAAAACATGGTCAGGATTGAAATTCCCTCAGAATATAACAGTTCCTAAATTAATGCTTCCTATTTTTTGACATTTCACCTACTAAAACACACTCCCCAAAACAAATTTAATGAGCAAATAAAATCAGGCAGACAACTTTTTATCGTATGAGGATGGTTAAATTAAACAAAATGAAATTACTCAAGCAACAAAACTTAGCACAGTCGCTTCATCAAAGAAATGATATTTTAAAATGAAAAAGAGAGTGGATGTCATCTCAGAATACTGGACAACTGACAGATTAGTATTATCATATGTAAATATTCATTTTGTACGAGCTCATAAAAATTCATCACCAGTCCACAGATACATTTGATGTGCAAACATAGAAACTCCCAGGTAAGACCGGCGCAAACAGTGTTCACTCAAGGGAAGCAGCTTCTACAATTTCCACTCACACACACCACTCTCCTGATTTCCTCTCCTCTCCAGCCTTCACCCTACTTTGTCACAATTCAAAGAATTAAAACCACATTGATGTCAGCTCAAGTATTCATCACTTCCTTCTCTACCTAGTTTAATGGCATACTTATAAATGGGGCTGTTCTTTCATTGAAACATCTATTTCAATTCTTAGGGATTAGCACAGCAGACAGTCAATAGAAGTAATTCAGTTAGGTGACTGTTTACAAGTTTTGTTTATGTTTTTTACAAGGATATGTTCTTAAGGGCCACTCTTAAGTCACTGGAAAACATGTTCCTTTTGAACCCATCTATCCTACCTTCTGAAATCAGTGATAATCAAAAGCCAAAATAGCATAACAACCCAAGTTCTTCAGATTTATACCAGGCAAGACAAAAAGCCCAGAGATATCCTGAAATTTTATAAATTACATAGCAGTAACATGCCCACATTTAACTATAGCTACAGTGACAAAAATATAGCATCATCATCAAATGTTTGCCATCCATCTAATGCATTATGCATCATAAAATATAACTACAAAATGCCCTCAAATTTAAAAGCCAATGATCTAAATAGACTTACTTATATAAGTTTATTGATTAGATGCTATATTTACACACTCAAATTATATCAACATGCAGCAAAAAATATACAACAATATCATTAGTAAAGTTCACACATTTCCTAAGTAAAATATATGTGTGTGTAAAGAATATAAATTTGCAATTCCAAGTCAAAGCATATATAATTAAATTAAAGATTGGCTAAAGATTTAAACATATAAACAAAAAGATAAATGTCATGAAAAATTCATTAAATATTCTGTTAAGCACTGGAGGCCAGGAGATCTTTTTAGCAATACATAAAACCTGGGCACCAAAAAGGTAAAGGAAAAAACAACAACAGGTAAGTGTATTTGACCATATATGAATGAAGTGTGTATGTGTGTGTGTGTCTGTGTTTGTGTACACATGGTCAAAGACACTTTAAATGAAGTCAGAAGTGAAACCACAGAAAGGGGGAGACGTTTTACGTGTTTTACAACACATATAAACCAAAAAGAGACTACATTGTTAACATATAAAGGGCTCCTACAGATTAATACGAAAATGGCATTCTAGTAGGAAATAAACAATTATTAGATAATTTATAATATCTGTTGTATGCAAAAAAAAGCAAATCTCTAATAAACATGAATAGATGTGGAAACTCCCTAATATTCAGGAAAATACTAAATAGACAGGCAACAAATACCATTTTTACCTAGCATTAGGCAAAGTTTAAAAAAAGAGTTAACATACAGCATTGGTGAGAATGCTCAGAATCAGGCACTCTTCTTGTTTGTGAAAATGAAGTACCACAGGTATTGCAGAAAATTTTCCAATATAACTTTCTACATTTTGAAAAACGCCAAGTTTTATCATAGTAATACCATTTAGGGGGAACTATCCTACAGATATAAAAGCAGTAGTGTCAAAGCATCTGTATTCAAGGATGTTTGCTACAGCATTATTTAAAGTGGCAAAAACCAAAATGCAGTGTCAATGTTTACCACAAGGAAAGCAAACGGGTATATTAACGCCTCATTCATACAGCGAAATATTACGTGGCTATTTTAAAAGTGTTTTTAAAACACTATATAATTAACAGGAAAATAAATACAAGTTGTAGAGTAACATGGATAGTATGTTTATATTTTCATAACAGCCTCTTAATCCCCTACACAATATGTAGGAAATTATGAAATATAAAGATTTACATACATATACATTTACATATAACATATTACATATGTTAAGCATTTCCTCCAATGCTGGATGTTAACTCTTTTTATAAACTTTGCCTAATTCTGGCCAAAAATGGTATTGTTGCCTATTTAGTATTTTTCTGAATATTAGAGAGAGTTTGTACATCTATTCATACGTTTATTAGAGACTTGATTTTTTGCATAAAACAGATATTTTAAATTATCTCTTAACATATGTTACATGTCATATATATGTAATATATGTTACATATATTGCATGTTATATATGTGTAAATATATGTACACCTTTATTCTATATTTTATATATATGTTATATATATGGCAAAAGTAGTTCGAAGGAAAAAGTTAAAATATATAATGTAAAATGCATGAGTCTAATGTGAGAATTAAACACTGTTCCATGTATATCATCATACTATATTGGAATTTGGCTAATAGCCCAACAATTGGGCTATTTAAAGCCTCTGTAATGGGTCAATAGCATCATTAGGAACCCCCAGCAGGAGACATGCCCTGAAGCTCGCCTGTTTCCCTAGATACCTCTTAGACTAGTATGCATTGTCTGGGTCCAGGATCTGGTACCACATCTTGAGAGTATATAAACCTAACTCAGTCCCCGTACAGAAAAGGACCTACCCTCATGGAAGAGCTCATGTTCAACCAAGGGAGACATAAAATCTGAATAACACACTCCTTAAAAATATAATTTTAATCAGAATAAAATCAAAACACTAATGTATACATTTACCATGAGAAATAAGGCCAACTGTTCTTTCAGTGGTCTGAAGAAATTAGACTGGTAGGATAGCTACTAGTTAGTAGCAGTTAGCAATTAATTCCTGGGGTAACTCTTTTAACAAACTAAAGAAATTGTAATCCACAAGTTTCCTATAGGATGATATAAATTGGAGAATAAATCATAATCAAAAGATTCCTTGGCATCTAAATAATCTTACATTTAAGGCCAGTTAAAGCTCCAAATATTTGAATATATCTAAGGAAGACTGTTCATTGGAAAAAAACGACTTCTGTTTGGCAGCATTTGAATGAACCAAATGTATGCCTCCGTAACACCCATTTTCCCAAATTTCCATCACTGAAAATCTCTTATTCACAACTATATTTCTCCCTTTTGTATCTTCTAATATATTCAATCATGTTATAGCCCAGTGTTGCCATGTTGAGAACCATTTTCCCTCTTTCAGGTGCTTTGATATCTATATACTGATTGATTAGGCATTTATCTTACAACTTAACTGTATAAAAGGCCATCTTATTACCCTCATTTCCAAGTTCTCAGAGGCACTTCATTGCATTCCCCAAATACTGACAGTAGGCTATATTGCTACTCTTCAGAGAGTACTATTTAACATATGCACCATTATTTTTAGATTGATTGCTGAATCATGCCAGTCTTATTGAGACACATTCAACTCTTACATTTTCTAACTGTGAAAAATAAAACATTATTTACAAAGAAGAATTGTCATAATGCAGTCATACTTCACTAGAACTCACAGAATATACAAAAAGTGATTCACAACATTACATTCAAAATACTTGCCCTGTTCCCTTGACTCACTAAATCTACACTGTTTAAGTGTGAGCAAAGGATCCATTTCCAAAGATAGAAAACACAACCTCTGAATGAGGATGCAACCAACATTCTGAAAATGCGGCTATATACTTCGAAAAAATAACAACATAATTATTTTATCCTTCTACCTTAAATATTTAACAAGATGTTGAGTGAAACACTTCGGTTGCTCCAAAACTGTCAAACAGGGTCAAAAAGGCACTAAGTACCTTGTATTCTGAGTGGAGCCACTAACATTTGGAACAAATAAAATGTTGACTCTTTGGATCTATACTGATGCCTGTGAGGCTTGCTGGGCCTCCTCCCTGCACAGGCCAGCTGGAAGATAACTAGGTGTCTCATAGCCTCTTTCCATCTATGAGAATGGAACAGAAAAAGCAATGCATTGCCTGTTTTCTTTGTTAACTTTTATTTGGGTTCTGGGGTACATGTGCAGGTTTGTTCAATAGGTAAACTGTGTGTCATGGGGGTTTGGGGGTTTGGTGTACAAATTATTTCATCACCCAAGTAAAAAGCATGCCACTCAATACGTAGTTTTTTAATCCTCTCCCATCTTCCAAACTTCACCCTCAAGTAGGCCCTGGTTTCTGTTTTTCCCCTCTTTGTGTTCATGTATTCTCATGGTTTAGCTCCCACTTACAAGTAAGAATAAGCAGTATTTGGTTTTCTGTTCCTGTATTAGTTTCCTTAGGAAAGTGACCTCTAGCTCTAACCATGTTACTGCAAAGGACGTAATCTTGTTCTTTTTTATGGGTGTGTAGTATGCCATGGTATATTACATTTCTTTATCCAGTCTACTGTGTTCTTCATACCATTTTCTTTATCCAGTCTACTGCTGATGGGCATTTAGGTGAATTCCATGTATTTGCTACTGTGAATATTACTGTGATGATCATACTCAAGAATTGCCTGTTAAACTAATAATTCAACGTCTAACTTAGCCATCCTCTCCCCGCTTCATTCGAATCATATAGGCAGGGTGGGGCCTGCAGGCTGAAGGTAGCTAGGTCTTCACCTCTGGCTAAGTTTTAAGGAATGCTGCTACAGTTCTTGGTAGATCTCTTAAGCACATTTTAGTCCTCAGTTTTAAAACCCAGTTGTCAACGTGGGGTTAATATAATCCCATGCCAACAGAAACATAAATGTGGCTTTGTTGAATATTTTTGAATAACCAGTGTCCTGAATTGGTGACCACATTTTCTGAACAATAACACAACATGATCTTCCCTGTTGGAGTATGATTTTCATAAAAATGGTCAGAATATGTGAGTTATGAGTATACTGGAAAACTTTAAGCTATGTTGTGGATTCATTACCCTGAAAATGAACTTTAGGCCATTCTATCACATTAACTGATTGAGAAAGTAGTTAAAAATGTAAATAAAATCCAACAGAATGCAGTTTACTAGTAAAACAATAGACCAATAGATTATATGGGTCAGCAAGGATAAGTTATTTAAGTTGTATGAATAGCTGTAAATACATTCACTTATATACTATGTACATGGGCTCTTTAACACAGGGTTACATCCTGATAAACCCATTGTAGGCTGAGGATTTTGCAATCTGAAAGTGCGTCCCTTTTCAACTTAAGATGGGTTTATTGAGACTTGACCCCATTTTAAGTCAAGGAGTGTACTGAAGGCATATCCCTCTCACACCATCATAAAGTTGAAAAATCATTAAGTCAAACCATTGTAAGTTGACAATTATCTAAATCTCCACATTATAACACTTCAGACATGAAAATCAAAGCACGAGCTATGCTGTTCACAGTTCCTTTTAGGCAACCTGCAGTATGTGCCATCATAAGTGGAAGACATAAGCATCAGTCTTTGAACCACAGAAGCCTCACTTCCACTTCCATCCTGTGAAAGTTTGTGCTACAGAGAAGCACCTTATTCAAGTACAACATGCACAAGGAAACCCCATGAGAATGAGAGACTTAAAAACAGGAGCTGACATGGTTAGGCAATGTTGTGTGTGGGTGGGTGGGGGGGGTGGGCGGGGACAGAGTAATCCTTATGATACATTTACAAGCTGAATTTATGGAGAACACAAATCATAAATAAGACAAACTATGATACAAGAAAAATCTATATAGATCAAATTTGCATTATGATCTTCCCATTTCCTCCATAACCTTTGTCAAATAGTAGTCTTTCCTAATTAATTATCTCACACCTTGTGTGAGATCTATGGTAGATACTCAATTATAACTTATAAGGTTGTGTTTTGTATTACTCTAAGGCCTCTGTGCTTGGCAGTCATTCTAAGCACTATCATGAAGAGTTGGTCAAATTTTAATGATTGGCAAGAAAGAAAATTCTATTTTGGATCAAGACTACTATGGTGCTTAATTTTAGGTGTCAGTTTGGGTGGATTAAGGAATGGCTAGAAAGCTAGTAAAGCATTCTTTCTGGATATGTCTGTAAGGGCGTTTCCGGAGGAGATTGGCATGTGAGTTGCCAGACTGAGGGGGGAGATCTACAATCAATGTGGGCAGGCATCATCCAATCAGCTGGGGCCCAGATAGGACACAAAGGGGAATTCTCTTTCTCCCTCTCCTGAAGCTGGGACATCCTTCTTCTGCCCTAGAACATCAGAACCTTATTGTCTCCAGCCTTTGGACTCAGGAACTAACACCAGTTACCCCCTCAGGTTCTCACACCTTCTGCTTCAAATTCAGAGTTACATCATCAGCTTCCCTGGTTCTGAGGTATTCAGACTTGCACGGAGCCATGCTATTGGCATGCCAGATTGCAGATAGGCCTCTCATGGGACTTTTCAGCCTCCATAATAGCATAAGCCAATTCCCCTACTAAATGTCCCCATATATATATATATATATATATATATATATATATATATATATATATATATGAATCATTCTGTATACTATTGGTTCTGTCCTATAGGGGCTATCTCTCTCAAGAACCCTGACTAATACAACTACATTTGTTTTGATTTACTACTGAGTCAAGAGCAAGCAGAGGAAAGGATATTGATGTCACTCTCATGGTGAGTATATGCAGAACCATGAAGCCTCCTCAGTTCCTCACAGTGGTCAATATAGTCAAGCAGAGCGTAGACTCTAAGATGGAGATGTCAGTAAACTGTTCATTGGGCTCGTTCTCTCATAGGCTGCTAGTCTCGGAGTGGCCACGTATACTCCTCGCGCATCACAGAAGGAAACGCTGCTCTCCGCAGTCCCAAACTTTGCATTTCATTTCTAACTGCCCTGTAGCCAATAGCAGCAGGGTGGTTTTTGCACACATTAGTGTGTTCCTCCATGATGTGCCTCAGGTATTTCCACCTGTGTAATTGAGTTCTCCCTCTAAGTTATGAACCACCAGGCAGGGAATGAATCATCTTTTTCTTTTGTACTCTGCTGAGCGCCTGGCACAATGTATGCATACACAGCCGGTGTTCACTATGTTATTCTCTTAACAGGATTGGCACTGCTTCATACTCAAACCAGAGAAGTTTGTTAGAAATCTGTATTTTTTTTTTTTTTTTTTGAGATCGACTCTTGCTTTGTTGCCCAGGCTGGAGTGCAGCAGAACAATCTCAGCTCACTGCAACCTCCACCTACAGGGTTCAAGCAATTCTCCTGCCTCAGCCCCCCGAGTAGCCAGACCTACAGGCACCCACCACCACGCCCAGCTAATTTTTGTATTTTTAGTAGAGACGGGGTTTCACCATATTGGCCAGGCTGGTTTCGAACTCCTGACCTCATGATCCGCCCGCCTCGGCCTCCCAACGTGCTGGGATTACAGGCGTGAGCCACTGCACCTGGACTGCCTCTTTCTATAGTTAGGGTTTGAAACATAAAAGGAACTTTTGAGAAGGAAAACCAAAAAAATCTTTGTATTTCTTTATCCAGCCTCTCCCCATCTGAAAAAAAAGAAAAGTAACCCCAGTACATCAATAGAGTTTAATCCAACTTTGAAAAGCAACACTCTCATCTATCATACAAGTGATAGTGTGATTGTCTGGGGAAGGACAAGCTGTTCCTGCCGTAAGCGAAGGAATGAGCACAGAGACAAAAGCGAAATATCCCGGAAGTATTTCAAATTTCTTAATGGACCATTAGCAAACACACAGTGAGGTAAATCTCTGGATTTGGTTGGATGGCACCGTTTTTATCAGTGGCTGACATCAAACAGTGAGATCGATTTAGGCTTATAGTGCACCAGAGAACATTGATTGGATCTTTTTTATTTATTTGTCCCCTTATAACTCTTTCTTTGTCCTGATGTGGACAACCTCTACAAGACATAAAAGCGCTCAGTCTCTGATCCTTTATAAAAGATGCTCTGCTACTGGAAAAGTGGTGTGGTGCTGAGGTAAGGGACAGTGTTGAGGAGAGTCAGCATCACTTTATAACTGCACTGAATATAAAACTTGTATACTTCCGTTAGTAAAGGCGTAGTGCCCCTTCAGTGCAAATAATAAGCTATGGGCCATGAGCAAGAGCAAATATCATTAAGTATTTTATTCACTGTGTTTAATCCATTATAGATGACACCTGAAAGAAAAGCATTAAATATGATGTTACCTCACAAGGATCCTGTAATTTTAATGCATGAGACATCAGGGCATCTCGTTCAGTATAACTTTGACTGCAAGCACAGCATTAATGTTTTAATAAGCCATTTAGTTTGCCTTATAGGCAGCTACTGAGCAACAGGAATTTCTTTATAAAATTCATCAGATTGATTTTTGAAATCTGATGATGTGAGTTGATCTAATTATCTTTGTTCTACCTCTCTCCAACAAAGCTGTATCTAATGATACTAACAGCATTTTAAAGGCATTTTTGCATTGTTTGAAGAAGGCAAGCCTTCTGAAACTTCTTCATTATGGAGAAGGACAGAAGAGAAGCTTCCACAGACCATAGGAGGTACAGGGTTAAGGAGGAAGAGACTGGTACTATTCTTTTCTTTAAGCAGAATGACAGTATTTATTCTCTTACTAAGCCTGATCCTAGAACTCATCAAGATTTAAATTACTGAGTGAAGGAGGCATATGGAAAAAATATCATAATCAATATTGCCTAGTTAGTTGAAACAGAAACTGTCAAAGGACTTTGAATTATAATAAGATGATGAGAACTGGGTATTCTCTCTCTCCTAATATACTGGCCATAGGAAATTTAATAATCACAACTCAGGAGGCCATCCAAGTCCTAAAATTCACTCATACCACTAAGAAGGAAACAGAGAGATTATTAACTCTGTTTGAATGGAAAACTACTTTGAAAAGATTGTCCTCACACTCATCTGTCTTATCTTATGAGAGAGAGAGAGAGAGAGAGGTCTCCGCTAGATCAAACTATACTATTATTACCCTTCTTCCCTTCTCAATAAAAAGCAGAGCCTGGTAGTCTTGACTTCCTTAGATGACATTTATCCCTTAACCTACTCCAGGTAGTTTCCACTGTTCCTTTTTAATAAAAGTGCTCCTGCCAAGGTCACTAACTACCTCCTATTTTGCAAACTCTGTGAATACCTCAAGCCTAATGTTACTTTCATCAGCAACATTTCACAAGACTAAGCCTTCTATCCTTCTTGAACTCTTTCCTATTCTGACTTCCACACCCAGACACTGCTGGTTTTTGTTTGTTTTTGTTTTGCTTGCTTGCTGGTTTTCACACCCGTGTGTTTCTTCACATTCATTCTTTAACCCTGTTACAGCTTTTTTCTCTCTCTCTCTCTCTCTCAAAATTCCCCTTGAAAGCCAGGATTTCTCCACTTTTTTTTCTTCCTTCTGTCTCTTGTGTTCTCTTTTCCCTCTGATTTCCCCTGAGTGATGGTAAGTACAGGCATATCCACAAAGATTCCCCTCACATACTGCCAAATCACAATATCCAAAGTACATTCGGTACATTTCCACTGAAACTTACACCGCCCAGAATTTGCTCTCTCAATTTCTCAACCAGAAAATCAAGAATTAGCCTGAAAAGATAATTAAAATAGCAGTATATATACTAAGTGTTTTAGCTGGAAGCTGTGTTTTCACATTTCTCTTTAAACTACGAGATGGTAGTACGGCAATGATAATAGTAGCTATAAAATATTTTCGCCTTTCAAGGAAGAAGATACTGATAAGATTCTCTAGGGAAAAGTAGTAATTAGAAATATTGCTGTACTTTTGACCTTAAAGTATGCAAATTGAATTTTAAAAGTACAGAAAATTAGGTCTGAAATATGTACCTATTCCTTTAAAAAGAAAAACCTTCACTCTATGGACAGGAGAAAAAGTTACTGTGTAAAGAGAAGACTGATTTCACTTCACATGACTGATTTGTCTAGAGCATGAAGATTTATTATCATAAGAAGTTATTATTTCAGGAAACTAAAGATAAAATCAATACTTTGGAGATCATTAAATCTTGGCATGAATTGAGCACTGAAGGCAAGATATTTTATTGAGACATGGAGACATTTCTATTTTGTGAATTCTGGAGGTCATTTTGCTGGCACATTTAATTTTGGCCTAAATAAAGGCAAACAAATTATCTTTTTGGATTATCTCTACTCAATGTTTTAACAATATGTGCTACTCTACATTTAATTATAAAGTTTTGTTTTGCTCTATAATTGTGATCAATAAAACCAAGGCAGATGAGAAATGAAGTAATAAAGGTTTATAGTCAATATAATAATTCTGGAACAAAAATCGTTTCATCCAAAGTATAAAAGAGTTTGGCAAAAGATCGGAAGTTAAGGTAATTCATGTTTAAGACTGCTGTTTTAAATGTAAATAGAAGTGAACTGTTTTTTCTTTAAGAGTAACCAATAATAAAAACACCAGGTCATTTCTTTCTTAATTTTATCCTTTTCAAATACTGGACCCAGCTACTAAAGGCTTTCAAAACAGATTTCAATAAATCAGGATCCAAATGAGTCTAAAACAATCCTGAAATACTAAAACTATACTCTCTCCAGGGGTAGTGTATTTTCTTTTGCAATATGAATTCCATCTTCTGGAACATTCAATAAATAAATGGCTACTCTCAGGTCCATCTTGCAGAGAAAATGAAAGATAGGCCAGAGGGTCTTTACGGGAAACAATAAGTAGGAACAAACCAAATGATGAAGTTCTGTATTGCCAAGCACATGTATAATGTTTTATGTATCTCCCTCCCTCTTTGTCCCTCATTTCCTTCCTTTTTTCTTTCTTCCTTCCTCCTTTCCTCCCTTCTTTCCTGTTTTGTTGTTCAGTCTTCTCCCCTCTCTCCTCTTTCTCCCTTCCCTTCTCTTCTGCTCTTCTTCTCTTTCCTTTTATCAGAAGTGTCAAGAAGACCAAGCACTGAATATCTTTAACTGTTGATAATCACCATTAACATAACATGTTCTTTAGCAGTATCTTTGAGCAGTAACATTGGATAAGTCAAGTGGGTTGTGTTTTCAACTTGGTAAGAGAAATAATACTTTTACAGTTAGGATGTTGGCAAAAAAAATCATAGTTCAGAAAAAAATTCCAGAAATACAGGCACTCATGTAGAAGCAAGATTTGAGAAATGTGAATGTGGTGAGCCAAAGTAAAACATAAAGCAATACATAAGAGTTGAATGCATGAGGATACGTAGTCTAAAAAAATTTAAATTTAAATCTGTATTATTAATATTACCCATAATGAAATTGGCTTAGAAGTCTAATCAAAAATGTAAAAGGTAGGTTAAATAGTTCATAACAGAAATAATTAGAAGTCTTAAATTTAAATGGAAAGAGCCAAAATTAATGAATACTCTAGGCTAAAATTCAAAGTTTTGAATGTAGATGTAAGTCAGTCAAAACTGGAGAGCAAAGGGATACAGTAAATAGATAAATGAGTAGTGCTTCTGTTAGCATCAACAGTGTGGAGAAAATAACATGAAGGAGCCACATTATTTTTAAAATCTGGTTGTTATTGTGTTTGGGAGGATGTTAAACAGATGGCCTTAATGTAATCTTATGTTTAGTCCCATTTATCACAGAATTTGAACTAAATACAGACTCTCTTTATAGTTATACCTCAATCATATTTGTTATGCTGACTTAAAACATGAATTATTAATTTCATGTAAAATAATTCATAGAAACTGGTTAGGAAATAAGCTGCAAAATTAGCATTAAGAACATTCTAAAATTATTTTATTTTCCTATATTTTTCTTGTATGTGAACTCAAGATTTCTAATAACTGAATTTAAATCACTATAGTGCATGTCAAATTCGTTGTCAATAGGTAGAGGAAGGAAAGAGGCTATTTTTACATACTGACCATAATAACTTATTCTTAAATACTTCTGTGGGATTATATGGTGAGATAATAAATGTATTCACCACAAAATCATTCCTAAATGCAGCTGTAATATGTCAAGAATTATCTGATAAAAGTGAGTTTATCAAAATTTAAATGTAGAAAACATCACAGCTGGTTCAACGTCTCAAAAACTAATTAATTACCAGCATATACTATGACTAAATGATCATTTGTAATTTACAATGATCAAATGATTAAAGACACATGCTTTTATAAATAGCAATACCCCAAATTTACAGGTTATTTCAAGAACATGAGATCTTAACTTTAATGTATCTGTGCGTATAAAAATCTTTGTGATCAGATCAATGGCATATTATTAAACCCATAAATTAGTCATGTATAGCAGAAGAAAATTAACCTTTTTTATATTAACATTTTCAAATCTGTCCTAAAAAGGTAACTATTTTATTTCAAACAAATACCATTTGCTTGCCTAGTGGGCATTCTTAAGCATCTGATTGATGTGCCTATCATAATTTATGAATTCATTTGATGAGAATTTTTTTCAACTAACATAATTCAATTTTATTTGATACTCACCTGGTGTTCACTCTGCATCTTGAAGTAAAATATTTTTTTCTCAACATTAAGATTTCATCAAAAATGAAAGGTAAGAGTGCTGGGGTCAATTATAGTTTCAGACCTAGATAAACTAACACACTAAAATATATTTTTTCATAAATCCGAGTTACTCCTAATCATAATCTGAATTATCATTACTGTTTTGTTATGTCACCAAGAAAACAGGAATTATAAGCATCTCTTGGCTTACAGGTTAGACAGTATTACTCTGGCTTTGGCTTATTTTAAAACCAATTTGAAGTTATATCTATATATGTGACTAAGGTTTTTCCTTTTTTTTCCTACTTTCATTTTAGGTTCAGCGGATACCCACATAGGTCTGTTACATGGCTCAACTGCATGTTGCTGAGGCTTAAGTGATGCTGATTTACTGGTAATGCTGCAGTATTTACATTAAAGTTTAGCTCTAGGTCCATCACTAGGGAGGCATCATTGAGTTAACCTTTGTTCGATAATGTTGATAAATTTGCATTAATTTTGTTTTTCACATTTTTATCCTCACCCTCTAGCAAATAATACAATGATTTTGCAATGATGCTTGTTAGTAGAACTATGGCCAGGATGAAGGATGGTTTATAGCCCTCAGGAGATAGTCTCTGTGACTTTGGCCTCATTAAAATGAGATTCTAAACAAGTACAAAGAAGAAGTGGGGCAGGGACATTGATTTTCTTGAACTCTAAACTTCCAAAGTATTTATTGTTACCCGAGGTATTAAAGACAGAGCTTTTAGTAGACTGAAATCCTTGTTAGCAATAGAAATTAGAAGAAAGATGTCCTGATACAAAGTGTTCAGCACACCTTACTGTGTGCTGGAAACCATTCTGGAGAAAACAGAGGCACTTGGATTCAGCTACAAATGAAATCAACACTGCAAAATTCTAGAGCAAGAGAAAAATATCTCGGGTGGGTTGGTGGATTTTGCTGATCAGGGTTGGCCATCTAACTTCTTGAAGATAAGGTGAATAAGCATAGGCATACACAGGGATAAAACAAAATCAGACGTTTGTGTGTGTTTTATCACCTCTATGCGTCCGTTCTCACAGTGCTATAAATAACTACCTGAAACTGGGTAATCTGTGAAGAAAAGAGGTTTAACTGACTCACACTTCCACAGGATGTATAGGAAGCATGGCTGGGTGACCTCAAGAAATTTACAGTCATGGTGCAAGGCGAAGGGGAAGCAAGTACTTCTTCCCATGGCAGAGCAGATGAGAGAGACAGTCCCAAGGGGGAAGCGCTACGTACATTCAAGCAACCAGATGTCTTGAGAACTCTGTCACTATCACCAGAACAGCAAGGGGGAAATCTGCCCCCATGATTCAATCGCCGTCCACTAGGTCCCTCCCCCAAAACTGGGAATTACAATTCGACATGAGATTTGGGTGGGGACTCAGAGCCAACACATATTATCACCCCTCCCAGCCTAACTCAGAAAACATCCAAAGATGTAGTTTTGATCTCTCTCATGTTAGCACTGCCGTAGCCATGGAAACAGGGTAGCAGAAGTGCAATAACAGAGGTTAAGGACCCCAGCTCTGAAGACAGATGTGTAGTTCTCCGGTTCATTTCACCACTTACTCACTATGCAGACTTTTAAGTCACTTTACTATACTGGGACTCAATTTCCCCATTTGCAAAAACGGGAAAATAATGACGCCTCTAGCATGATGTGTTTAAGAGACTAAATGAATTAATTCAGGATAAGTGTTTACAATAGTACTTGATACAAAATACTCAAGCAATATACACTATTATGATTACTTCAGAGAGTTCAGTTCTATAATTCTTGTAAACACTCAAGTCTCTACTTGCCTAAAATATGTTTATGTTTAAAGCATTTACAGGAGATACTGGCTAAATATTTTTTTCATCCCCAGTCCTTTCAGTGTTACTGATAAGTTTAGTTAAGTAAACTCTTTACACAGTTTAAGGAAATTTATATGACAGATAAAACAGTCAATGTTGAAAAAATTATGAATTTCTTCTGAAGTATGCTCTTGAAATGCTACTTAATTTAGCCTTAAATTCAAAACAATAACTTCATTCTATCAGATAGATGCATAATGTAGACTTGTCTAAAGTACAGCTTTACTGTGCATTTTCAGAGAACATAAAAGATTCCTTAATTTATTTATATACGCTTTCTTTGATCTTCCACTATTTGCAAGGTACAATACTACTAGGTATACATGGTATGGAAAAGGTTTATAAGTACAAAATAACATGAAAATTGATCAAAGATTTGGAATTACACACAGCTACAGAAGATGTGGCAGACAGACTCTATCTGCCTTCACATCCACCTTCAATCATTGAAGGTTGTCTTCAATGATTTCCTGCCACTGGTTTCATTTTCCTGGAGGTTTATTTTCCTCCACTAAATGTGCACAGGAGTTGCAGCTTGTTAAAACCAGTAAAAGATGGCAAAGTTATGTAATGCAGCTTCCACGATTGCATTACACAAAATTATAACTGTTCTCCTGCTCACAGACTCTCTTTATCAATGTACTCCCCTACTGGCTTTGATGGAGCAAGGGACCCAAAGAAGAGGTAAGGGGCAATGGGCAGCTTCCAGCCAACAGCCAAAAAAGAGCTGAGGCTTTCGGTTCCACAATCTGTAGGAACCGAATCTTCCTAAAACCTCAGACTGTTTGGATTCTTAACTGATTGAGCCTTAGGTGAGACTCCAAGCAGGTCCATTATCTTCATTGCAGCCTGCGAGATACACTGAAGCAAAGGACCCATTCTTATTCCTGACCAGAGCAACTTGCATAATAAATGTGTGGACTGTTAAGTCATTGTTTGTGATGATTTGTTACAGAGTAATAGAAAACAAACATAAATTTGTAACAGCTTATAATTCAAGTTATTGCTTTCCCAGGTGCTATGATATAGTATTATTACATAATCAAATAAGATATAGGACATTTTCCTTTATGTATAGCTTTATTTCATATTGAATTAACATTCTCAGAACCTGAGAAGTCTTCTCTGTGCATCTGCTAAACCACCTTCTCCTTTTTTCTTCAATAGTAATAATCATTCCCTTTATTTTCCTTGTAGTTTTATTGGCCATGCATCCATATCCAGCGTAATTTAGTGAAGTTAAAAAAAAGAAAACTTCAAAACTTCCTATTTTCTATATGCTTGTCACTTGCTTCTTTTCTTCAATGTTATGTTTGTGAAACCCATCCATGTTGATGTGTGTAGCTATACTGTTTTTCTTTTGTGTTATGTTAGTCCATTGTATAAGCCTATCAGTTTGTCCTTCCAAACACGACTGGAGATCCTGGTTCTTCCCAGCTGGGGCTCAAACGTACAATGTACTTTAAGCATTGTTGTGCCTCTTTCCTAGTGCCTATTTTCACATGTGAAGTTCCTCAGTGACAGGGATGTGCATTTCAACTTAAGTAGGTAATACCAAGCTGTTTTCCAAAGTGACAGTGCAAGAAACATATGACACTCATGCTGCTCCATATTGTTACCGATACATGGTGTTCTCAGATTTCAATTTGGCCAATGTACTGGGTATATAATGGAATCAAATTATGATTTCACTTTCCTAGTTACTAAAAAGGTTGATTTTCAAATATTTAATTGACATGTAGATTTTCACTTTTACTACTTTTCTATTGGATTATCAAGACCTTTTTTTTCATTCACAGAAGTTTTCTAAATATTTTGGATATAATCCAAATATCACTTTTGAATCATGTATATCAACTCAAAACTTTTTTATCAGTTTTTGTGTTGCAAGAGCCCACTTCTACTTTATGAGTTGTCTTCTCACTTCTTATGGTGTCTTTTGAATAAACAAGAGTTGTTCATTTTAATGCCATTGAATGTACCAATATTTTGCTGCATAGTTAGAGATTCTCTAAAACTTTATAATTTTACTTTTCACATTTGGGATTTTAATGCAATCGAAATTTATTTTTAGTGCTTAATGTAGGTAGGACACTACTTTTACTTTTTTTTTTTTTTTTTTTGAGACGGAGTTTCATTCCGTCATCAGGCTGGAGGGCAATGGCGCGATCTCTGCTCACTGCAACCTCCACCTCCTGGGTTCAAGCGAATCTCCTGCTTCAGACTCCCGAGTATCTGGGACTACAGGCATGCGTGACCACACCTAGCTAATTTTTGTATATTTAGTAGAGATGGAGTTTCACCCTGTTGGCCAGCATGGTCTTGATCTCTTGACCTCGTGATCCGCCTGCTTCAGCCTCCCAAACTGCTGGAATTACAAGCGTGAGCCACCACACCTGGCCTACTTTTATTTTTAATAAAAGTCCCAATATCAGTTTTTGCACAGTCTGTTCCCTTCCCAATAATCTGCAATCTCAGCTCTTTAGTATATCAGACATTTATTAATTTTTGAAATATTAAATAGAAGTTTATATTTTACATATTTTTATAACACTTGCCTTCAGGTCTCAGACAAATAAACAGGATAGTTTTCATATTTCATGCACAGAATCTCGGTGCATACAATGTCTTATAAGAGACAGACAAAAACACAAAGTAACACAATAACAAAATCACAAAAAGTACCAAAAGCACACAAAGTTATCTTCTAGAATAAAAATATTTTGAAGACAAAATTACTGATGATTGAGTGATATAAAAGTCATCATACAACTAAATTCACATTTCCTTGATGGTCAGATTTGTTGTTTGTAAAATATTTTTAAAATCTATGCTCAGACTAGAATGCCCAGGTTATTTTTACATTGTTACATTACTAGGAAAATAATAATACATTTCTACCAGTCTTCTACTTTTTAGAAAGAGTAATGAATTTTACCTTTTGTCTGGTATTTGGAACTGGCAGTCCTTTTTAATTGACAGCATATTTTTTCTCAAACAAACTTGGCTCTGTGTGTATATACAGACAGAAACACACACACACACTCACACATACACACACACAATTACATGTGCCCTAGCACGATAGAAAAAAACAACCCTGGAATTTATATGGTTAATTTGAAGTATAAGAGAAAAATTAAATTTTTGGCTACAAGAAAAGCTACTTCTACATAACATTGAACTTGATTGCAATTATTATCATTAAATAAATTCTATAAATATGTATAATTTTGTTTTCTCTCTTATGCAAATAGCCATGTAAATATGGAAACAGATGGTGATATTGTTCAGTAGAATGAATATGTATTAACATATGCATCCAAATTTATTTGCCAAATATAAATTTTCATCTTCTTTTTAAATTTAATGGTTACCATAAAACTTTTGTAGTAAAGTAAGTATATGTGAAATAGCTTCAGTGTGCTTGTGGGAAATTCATATCTACCTTTTTTAGATGTATTTTTCATAAAACTTATGGTAAATATATTAACCTTTCCATTCGTTGTCACTTGGTCTTACCGATTCTCAAAAAATAGATTTTGACATAGATGCATATTTTATATTTAATATACATGTTTAGTATCTAAACCTGAATTTTACAAATCATTCACATAATTCTCAGTGAGATAAAACTAGCTTACTTGTCATGTTTTACTTGAGGTAAACTCAAGATTTCTTATTATATGGTGCCCAGATATATTGTTTTAAAGCTACTTTGGGATATTTGCATTTGGAGTAATTATTTTAATCCCTCTATTTTTACGGCAAATTTTATATATTGCAAATTCAATGTTACGTATTGTGAATATACATTCATGATGGTGAATTCAAGTTTTCTTCTCATGGTGGATGCTGTAGTTGGAAATATACATAAAACAAAAGTCAAGAAATTGTGTCTTTTTGCTATGCTGAAAATATAAAATGACTTACGTAAGTAAATGTTCATTCATTTACTAAGAGAATGACAACAAGACTTACAGAAAAATACTTCTTATGTGCAACACTAAGAGTGTGAAATAAATTTACCAAACTAATTTAAAGTACTGAATCCTACAGTACTTGAAAGAAATTAGCACACTAAAAAGTCACAAAAGTGAATTTATCACATATTCATCTCTATTTTAGCATTTTACTCATGAAAGAATAATTTCACCTTATAACATGTTGGGTAGAACCAGTAGGGGTCCTCTGGACTTTTTTATTTGAAATTTTTTCTTTTTCTTTTTTCTTTTTACAAACAAAAAGAGTAACAGTTTATTTTATATATTCTGATGAGTAAAAAAGGGACCCAAGTTTACCCTCCTAGGTTTTTACCCAAGAGAAAATATGTATCCATAAAAAATGCTTACATAAAATAGTTCATAGTAGCTTTATTCAAAATTCCCCAAAAACAGAAACAAATGAAATGTTGGTCAATGGATAAAAGGTTGTGGTATGTTCATACAATGGAATATTTATACTTAGCAAGAAAAGGTATGCAATACTGATACGTTAGGTAACATGGTAAACTCTGAAAACAATGCTGAGAAGATGAACACGAAAGGTCACATCCTGAATGATGCCATTTAGAACTTACAGAACAGAAAAAAACGATTTGTGGTGAAAAAAATGAGAAGTGACTGTGGAGGTGGAAACTGACTAGAAAGGATAATGAAAGAACATTCTAGGTGGTCCAGTCTACATCTCAATAGGAGTTTGAGTAATACTAGTTGTGTGCATTTGCACAAACTCAGAAAATTTACACTTTAGATTTGTGCATTTTATCACATGTAAATTTTATCTCAAAAGTATAAAAACTAAAAAATATTGAACTCTATGATGTTGCATGCTTAAATATTTAGGCGGAAACACACAGATGTCTGCAACTTATTTTTAAATGAATAAAAATATAAAGGTTGAATGACAGAGAAAAAGACATAAATAGGCAGATATTTAGGGGATAAAACAAAGATAGCCAAACAGTAATTACAGAATCTGTGTTTGATAGACAGATTCTCTAAAACTCTTTTAATCTTTCTGTATGTTTGAAAGTTTTCTAATGTTTGAACAAAATAAAACAAATCATGAACTCCTACTACATAGTAAAACAAACATTTTTTCTTCCTTATGGCATACAAACACTAATGCCAACTTACTGTATAAACATTACCATCAACTACATACTTTAGACAGATTTCAAAGACATTTTTTGAGCAATACAACCAAAATATAATAGCATACAATTCTAAACGTTTCAGAGGTCTGACAGATATCAGAAGTTATTCACATGAAGCTCTATGAACATGATATGTAATTGGTAGATAATTATATCTATAGTGATACAATGGAGATGGAAATGAAGTTAGAATACATATTCATGATTCCTTTATAACTGATGATATGCTTTCTTTGGTTGGTTGGTTGTTTGGTATATTAGTTCTGGTGCAGCAGGAGTGAAAGTTTCAAATTAGCAA
The DNA here is from genome assembly GCF_000001405.40 of Homo sapiens. Classification (NCBI taxonomy): domain Eukaryota; kingdom Metazoa; phylum Chordata; class Mammalia; order Primates; family Hominidae; genus Homo; species Homo sapiens. The sequence goes on from NC_000008.11 coordinate 14,959,392, forward strand.
GATTATAACTAATCCATGGATATCGTACATAGAGTACCCTCCAAATTAATGGGTAAATACAATGTTGCTTATAGTATATCAGCCATAACTTTTTCTTAAAAACATAGGATGACTTTGTTTTAAAATATACAAAACAGCTGAATGAATCATTTAACAATAGCTAATGCAGAATATCTATTCAGTGTATGGGCTTTTTCGTTCTTCTCAGTATCCACCAACAACAGCAGAAAGCACTGTCATTGAACACTGAAGCTTATTTTACACACATATTCCAGAGAAAAAGGTAGTCCATTCAGAACAAACTGTTCTTAAGTTACTTTTTAAAGATTCTCTGTAATCGTTCACGCTTTAATTCTACTGGTTTGTATATCTTTTCTTTCACCACCTACTTATTGGTAATCGAAATAGTCTTTAGTCCAAATATACAGTCACTATCTTGTTTTTAGAAAAAGGACAATGGGAGGACAACATACAGGGAGCAGGTAATTAGCTTTTCCTGATTTTCCAGCACGCGCTGAGGGAAGGTCAGTTTTAACTGATTACCATGGGGCTGAGCAACCAATCAAAACTCTGCCAAAAGTCTTCTATTTCAGAGCTCGTGCTGCCATTTCAATACTCTAGTTTTACTTTGCTGCCAAATCTTTCACACAACTGTGAAGCAAAGAGGTTGCACAGATTATAAAGGTGAAGACTGACATGCATTTGGAAAATGAAAACATAATAAAAAGAATTTCCATAAATTGTTTTCAGGATTTCATCTTATATATCCATGAATAATTTTTACCAACGCTCTTTGAGGGTGAATGCAATATTTTTTTTTCTGTAAAAGGCACTACAGTGTAGACTGTATTTATTGTAACGCTTGGATCAGCTGCAAATGCAATAAAATTCTATAATTTCCTTGGCTTGATTATTTTATTGATAGCCACAGGTTGAGACACCATGGAATACAAGTGGCCTCTCTGATTTTTTTTTTATGGGTTTGGGAATTGTACCAAAACAACACTTCTGAGAGTAAGAACTAGCATCTGTGATGCAATGATTCAAATGAAATTTTGCCAGTCAGATTTTCATAGGCTAGAGGTACCACAAAGTACCAATCTCTGTTGTATGCCACTGCAAGCAGCTGAAGAACATAATCTTCATTTTCTTAATCTTGATCAGCTTCATCTTTTCTTGAGCAGCTACAATAGTCACTGTTCTGAGCTATGGGTGGTGCAACACCAGAAATGTGAAGAAAATTAAGCCATACCTGTCTTAGAGCTTGAATATTACTGAGTCACAAATATGAAATACTCAAGCCATAAATACTGTACCACTTCTGAGCTGTGAAGAAATAGCCAAAGAAGCTTATTTATTCATATACCATCAAAGAGCAGTCATCATTTCTACTACATCAATTAAGGAAATCACTGATTTTTTTTACACACTCCACAGCTAGTTTAGTTCTGTGAAGACAGAATCATGTGGCCTTTGAAAGTGGAATTGTATTCACTTAGAAAAGCACAAGGAATATTATCTTTCTACTGCAAGGAAATGGCACACACACACACACACACACACACACACACACTCACTCAAGCAGAAATCACAAAGCCAATTTTACATTTTACAAAAGAAGAGAGTGCATTATTGTTTATCCATGGACGTCCTTTTATGTGCTTAGCATTTTAACTCTAAATTCCTTGGCGGCAAGCTGTGAATCAATGCATCAGTGGGGCCTGAAATTCACTGAATTGTATCTTTTAGCCTATGGGTACTTTTTGTCTGCTAATGAGCTTAAACAATCTGCTGACCTTCCCAGCTCCATCATTTTCTTTTTATCAATATTTTTATTAGTTGGTAAATCTCTCCGAATCCTAAATACCAGCCTAGACTCAAATGGACTGCCTACTGACCTGTTGTTTACTGTAGAAACTGAACTTCTTGGAAACATCTTGGAAAATACGCTGGTTTCTAAATGCAAGCGATAAAAGTTACAGGCTGGCTACAGAGGAATAGAATGTGTATTACAGTAGATTCTCATGGTCCATGGTTTTACTTTTTGTAGGCTCAGCTACCGTGGTACCATACAATAAGGTATTTTGAGAGAGAGAGAGAGATCCCATTCACATAATTTTTATCACATTATATTGTTATAATTGTTCTCTCTTATTATTTTTGTTAAACTCTTACTTACCTAATTTATAAATTAAACTTTATCACATAGTATATGATAAACTTTAAGAAAAAACATAGTACATATAGGGTCCACTAGGATCTGCAGTTTCAGCCATCTACTAGTGGGTCTTGGAATGTATTCCTGATGGATAAGGAGGAACTACTGTACAAATGACTTCACAAGAAGAGAAAAGGCACGAATAAAAGCAATGATGTAGGGATACATCAGAACCCCACAAGTAGTGTAAGCAGTTGGGTAGTACAGGATCACTCAACAGACAACACAGAAACTGCCTTCAAGGTATATGGCAATAGGGCCGCAAACTACTCCCTATTCATAGCAACACAGGAGCAAGCCAATGTATGTCATAATTTACTGTGGCTTCTGAATACTTTTCTTATTCCTTCTTGCGGAGCACTGATTATATCATCCTTTAATTATTTTATCATATGTATCATTTTCCAATTAATCTGAAAAACTTTAAGACCAAGTAATAAGCATTCAATAAACATAGGACAGAAAGAAGGACAGGAAGGGGATAAAAAGGAAAGAAGTTTTGTCTCTTTGCTGACCTCAACATCAAGTGTATCATGAAATTCCCTCAATGGTATGTGAATTAATTATTACGTCAACCAGTTTCTGATTTATTTTTCCAAATCTCTGTTTCACTCCAGAGCTGAAGACTTCTCATATAGACAACAGTTTATATATTTTTATTCCTTAATATATTATACCATGCATTTAAGAAAAGACATATTGCCTCAAATGTTGATAGCTATTACCCTTTTAACAAGGAATATGAAAAAAGGGGAAAAAGTCAAATCAAGGTAATTGTATATATATATATATATCTGTACAATTTATGATCTATCATACACACAAGAAAAATGAATGTGTGTTCTATTTTTATTTATAGATACAATAAATGTCATAGAAGTTTCTCAAACAATACTACTTAAAGAAATATACAGCATTATTCAGCTTGAATAGTTACTGGTTTCTCTGTATTTTATTAGTTAAATATAAACATATTTTCTGATATGAAAATATAGAAAATTCATTTTTATGTATCTGAGATAGTAACTAAGTAAGGAAAGTAACACAGTCACTAATCATTTAAGTAAATGCTAAATCAATTGGATGTGAAAGATTGGCACAGAGATAATTGTCTAAACAGCATGCTTAAACATGATAAGGATCAATGCAACAAATGATGTTTGCACTTGGGCAAGTGTCCCGCATTAAGAAATTCGTCGTGATAAGATATGCAGAACAAGGGAGCTTGAATCATTTCTGCCATATATTGTGAGAACAGTTTGTTCTTTTCCATTGCAGACATGAAAAACAAAAAATCCATATTAAATGTCACTGGCAACAGGGGATTAGCCCTGTTCTAGTAAAAAGTAGGTCTCCTCAGGGTTTACTTTAGGCAAAACTGAAATAGGAGGAGCAAGTTAAAGATTTGGAAAGTTTCTGGACTGAAAGTTTGATTTTATTTGATTTCTGAATGAGATGACAAACAACCTTTCCATTGTATTTCTTTACTAAAGCCAAAGCCCAGAAACTTGGGTCACAAATGAGTATCACGGTTAATACTCCCAGGAAAATAGGAAATTAAGCAGGTAACTACATCGAACACCATATATGGCATACACCAGGTACTGTGTGTATATGTGTTGCATGAGCAAATGTATACAGATGAAAAAATGGAATTAGATTGGTAAATGTAACAGTTCCAAACAGTGGAAGCTATCCAGTGAGGTATAAATTCATTTTCTTTTTCTTCTTTTTTTTTTTTTGTTTGGAGACAGAGTCTCACTCTATTGCCGAGCCTGGAGTCCAGCGGCACAATCTTGGCTCACTGCATCCTGCGCCTCCCGGGTTCAAGTGATTCTCCTGCCTCAGCCTCCTGAGTAGCGGGAATTACAGGCGTGTGCCACCACCCTGGCTACATTGTTCTTTCTTTTGTATTTTTAGTACGGACAGGGTTTCAACATGTTGCCCAGGCTGGTTTCGAACACCTGACCTCAAGTGATCCACCCGCCTCAGCCTCTCAAAGTGCTAGGATTACGGGTGTGAGCCACTGTTGCCTGGCCTAAATTCATTTTCTAATTTTCAAATAGTATTGTTTTGGAATTCAAGCTAGCTCTAGAAAAGTCATGGTTGTTAAAATTCAAGAAAATGTATGGAGAACACTTTCACGCAGGTCATCCCTTTCAGCCGTATTCAAATTTCACTACTTACAAGACTGTTTATTCCTCTGTAGGAGAGATCACTCATTGCAACCCCAAAGTTTCACGCTTTCCTTCAAATTTATTTCTTTTCAGTGCTTTCTAAAATAAAACTTTTCACCTATGATTTTTTTATCCCAGAAAAAATTTTTTCTAAGTTGTTTAATATAGCCCTCAAATGATAGCACGTGGATCCAATAAAGGTCACAAGCGTAAATAAAACCCTTCTCCTTTAAATCCTATGCAAAGGTTACAAGGCTAAAAATAAATTGATCTTATAAGCCATGCACTGAAGAAACAGACTAAGTCATACACATCTGTAAATGGAAAGGTTTGCTTTAGTTAATCCCCTCCACTTCTTCCATTAAGTGATTTTTGTCACTACTGTTATTGCTAGATCACTTCTTCAAACCTTTTTTTCTCTCACTTAGCCCTATTTTCAAGATTGCAGCACAAAATACATTAGCTCACTAAAATGACACAGATAAAATCTGTTCTGTCATATCACAAGACATGTAAACAAGATAGAGCCTCCGCATACAAATTTGACTATTCCTCATGTCTTATTTCTCACTGAAATGCCTTGATATAAAGAAGAAAGCCTTTTCACCAATAGATATCAGGAAGATGCCCTGCCTAGGACTTTAGAGCTTCAAATTTTTTGGAGCTGGTGATGCTAACTGGGTTACCTCTAAAACAAAAAGATTGTGATTTGCATGCAGGAATTTCATTAGCGCAAACTCTCAGGATCACCACTTGCTGGAGAGGACAGAAAGCAGGATGGGGTAGAGAGAATATTTGAATTCAGCCAATCCCACACGTAGCTTTGCAATGGGATAACCCTGAAAAGTGGTCCTGAATTGAAACAAGCGTTATGGTTCTTTTTTAAATAATTCTGCATTGAGTAGTTATTGGAGATGGCAGTTCTCGGGAAAAGCAGCTCCTTGCAGTCCAGCCCAGAGCAATTCTCACAGAACTCTACTAGGAGCTGTCAGTTTCCCATAGTTCTGAATGAGGAATCTGGGGGTGTACCACAGAACCCACTACTTATATACCTGCAAAAGGGAGGTAGGAAGCTATGCAGGTTATGTGGGCGCTTCTACTGGACATCATTTAGCATCTTTTGAACTGACTGAACCTGGTGAACCCTAAGGCCACTCAACTCGCTTGTGGGAGCTCAGGCAGACAGACCATTTACCTTTTACCCACTCAGTTCTAATCCACCCAGGAGGAGACTCATTTGTGTCCCCCATTCCCGAGGTAAGACTTCTACATGCTAAGAGTCACAAAATATGTTTCTTGGGAGTGGGGACATAACAGCCTATCAGGACAATCCCGATACTCGAGAGGGGATCCACTGAGGACAAATCTCTGCGGCCATAGTTCGCAGAACTCAAAAAGCTAGTTGACATCACAAGCTGACCTGATTATGAATCTAACTTGTTTGATAGCTCCTCCTCAATAGTGCCACCCAAATCTGGTCCAGTCAAACTGGTAGGTGCGATGTTTAACCTCCAGCCAATCACTTTTCCTAGAGTGAAGTTTCCAGAGCTACATCCCATTTTTGATTGGGATTTGACTGGTGCATATTTGAGAAAATCGACATGAAAGACGGAAAGTAAAGGAGTCGCCAAAGATGAGTGAGAAAACACAAGCAAAAGAAAATATGAGTGGCAATATACAATTCTTACTTTAAAATGTAGAATTTTAGGCCAAAATATTAAACAAGAATAAGTGGGATATTATATGATGATCACAAGCCCTTATGCACCTAGCAAATACACTACACTACAAGAAACCAAAGGCTGTGAGCAATAGAGAGAGGAATTTAAAGCATTACAGTCTTAATCAAGATATTAACATAGCATTTTTATAAATCAATACATTAAGTGGAGAAAATATAATATGGACAATTTGAATAATACTACCAATAATTTTCAAATCTGTATTAATGTCAAATTTCCTATGTATAATATTTTACTTATAAACAGTGAAAGAATATAAATATCCAATGCTAGTAAGTACATATCTTTCAAGATATATCATAAACTACAGCAGGGCAAATCTAATAATAATAGGATTGTATTAAAATTTGGAATTAAAAGAATAAACAATACTCTACCTCTAACTCATGATCGAAGAAGAAACCAAAACTAAAATGGGAGATTGTTTAGATTTAAAAACCTACAGAATGCTCTCAAGCAGCACTGAAAAAAGTAATAGTCTTATTGCTTTTATTATGATGATGTGACTTAGTTAACTAATGAATTTACTTATGTCAACAAGACTTAAAAACTGAACATGAAGAGACACCTGAAAAGCTATAAGAAAGGCTTTAGAATACAAAATAAATAAATTAGGAAATAAAAAATACACTAGAAAACAGATAACCAAAAATATAAACAAACCCAAGGCAAGAATGACTCCTATAAGAAAGAAAGGAGAAAAACAGGGGAAATATTGATGTCATCAGAGATGAGAAAGGAAAAATAAATAATTATATCAAGAGGAGATGATAGGCTATCAGGTTAAAAATAAATAATCTATATTCAATTGTATATTATTATTTTATTTTATAACCAAGAAAAAATTTATTCATATTGTCCCATCAAATAACTACATGTTTATAAAATATCTAAAAATATATAAATTCTTAAAAGTGATTAACTCTAGGGGAATAAAAGATTACAGAGGATTTTGTGTATTCAAATTTTTACAAAGTCCAGGTATTAATTAAACGTAACAAAAATGTATTCCATTTTCAGAGAAGAATAAAAGTATTTAAGAGCCTAATTTTACTAATGCCATATTTACTAATTTCCATTTAGAAATCCAGTGCATAATATTAATACTGTTTTCCTTCTGTAAAAGCACCAGATTAACAACAAAAAAGAAATGAAATGTAACATGATATTAATGTGCACGCACCTGCTTTAAAAACGCTTTGGGTTGTTTTCTTTTGTTTTAAACAAATAGTATAGAAAAGATGTGTTATCCAAGATGGAGAAGTTTAGGGAACTCAGCAATATTTCAATAGAATATTTGAAAGAAAGGGAATATATGACAAAAACATACGGGAAAGCTGTAAATTTAAACTACAATTGAGGTCAAAGTTGAACAACTTATTTGAATTTGGGGAGGGGAGGTACAGAAAAATAAACCAATTCTCATTCACCTTCCATTCTCTCCCAGTTGTGTATTTATTCATTCCTTGTACAATTATTAAAAATTTTATGTATGCCAGGCACTGTGTTAAGCACCAGAAATACAAAGATTAAGTCACTCTTTCATTTTCATTAGCTCACAGACTTGTAGGCAGTAGAATAAGTAAACTGTAACATAATTACTCATAGCATCCAGTGTCATACAGTAGCATACCTAAAACTGTAATACACATTAAAATTATACTGGGATGTTATTAAAATGCAGATTCTAATTCAGTATATCCCTGGTGGTGTCTGAGACCTGGAAAGTCTAATAAACATTACTGATTCACCAACCCCAGTTTCAAGTGCAAAGGGATAGCGCTTCTAACTGGCGCTCCATCTCTGGTCTAACTGCCCATGGTGCACACACAGATTCTTACATGACATCAACCTTCCCTATTTCCATGCATCTTCATGCTCACTCTACTTTTTCCTCAGGTGATCCCATGCACACCTCTGTCTTCAATTATGACTTCGGTCATAAAGACTCAAAATAACTATCAATAACCCTCTTCTGATTTCCAGACTCTCATACTCAACTGCTTATTTGACATCAAGTTTTCTATCCTTCAAAGGCATCTCAAACTCGCCACGTCTGAAGCTGAACTCACTGTACTTTTCCATCCCAAACCTCTCAGAAAGTACTGGTCATTTCATATCTCAGTGACACTTCTTACAGTTGAGATTTTCCCCTAAATATCTATTTAATTGAAGTATATAAGCCCCATAGAGAAAGGAACCATGCCTGATTTTACTTGCCATTTATTTCCATTTACTAGAACAGCATTTGAACAAAGTAGACATTCAAGGAAAACTTGGAGTGAAATGTTGATTAAAAATTACTCTCTGCCTAAATCTGCATGTTCACAGTCAGATAACTGAGCATCCCCGAGGTGAACAGCCCTACTCCAGGGACAGTCACTCCTATTACACAGACCTCCAAAAGCAAATTATTTTCACATATAAAGTGTTCAGTAAACATTTGTTTTAAGTAAATGAATGGGCAATGCAATAAAAACATCTTGTACAAAATTTAATCCAACTAGAATTTATTGAGCCCAATCTGGACAAAGCTATATAATAAGCATAAGAATAAAATGTGGCCATTTTGGTGTCTCATCAGATTGGTTAAAATGATTGTTTGACTCTAGTTTAGAGATTGAATTACTATCAGAATCCCCCTTCCATATGGCTCTTTCATTTGATTTATTCAAGCAATTTGTGGTATCTCATCTTGATTCTATCAAACATATAGTGTACAACACAATTGTATTTCTATTAAGATTTTTGTGGCAGATTGATTAAAATCACTTGAACAGACCCTCTGGGAACATCTGAAACCTCAGAATTTTATGAAGACTTACTAACATAGATCTACAGAGCAGACATAGAAGGAAAAGAGGAATTTTTCAGGATTTGCTATAAACCAGAGAAATATCCCCAAACGGATCAACTTTGTTAACATTTTATTCAATATTCATCCTATAGCAGATCCTAGATTAGGATAAGAAGAAAATAGCATACTCCATTTTCTTAAGATATTAAAAATCTAAAGGGCAAGATAGATCACTCAATGTATAATTAAAATCAAGGGACTCAGTACTGTAGATGACGTGTGTACAGATGATTGAGAAAACAAGAGAATTATCAAAAGTTTAGGAAAGTGACATTGGTAAGAGGAGGAGGTTTAAATACAGCTACCTTGAGAAAATGACTTCTAAGCTGAGTGTTTAAAGGCTAAAAGAAAATAACTTCTTAATTGTGTGGTTGGGAAGGAAATTTGGGCAGAGAATATAAATTTTGTGATTTGACTTGTGTATACACTATCGGTAACAACTGGAGGCCAAGGCTTTTACATTTTATGAAGGTTTGAATAAATTATTTTAATGACCTAGATGGCTTTTCATTCGAGCTTTTTTTTCTCACAAATGATATTTTCCTGTGCAAACAAAAGATGGAATTGTAAAGTGTAAAAAAGCATTTTCTTTACATAGTCAGTATCAGCCTTATGAGAACATTTACATCATTGTGCTACTAATACTAATCTATTTTTTGACAAGTGTGATGGATTGAGAAATATGTAAAGCTATTGAGAAACTATGACCCAATTAACACCGCACTCTCATATCCACTAAAATGAGATTGCCTGTCCTCTTTCAAATAAAAACAGCAGGTTAAATTTTGGGCTTAAAATCCAATATGTCACCTACAATTTTCATCTTCTTAGTTATTAAATCATGTTATTATATTTGGGTGTCCACGAGATATTAAAATTCTAGGCCACTGGCCTAATTGTGTTGTGACACCCTACTCCTATCTGTTGCAGAGGACTACACACTGAAACATCTACTTTCATCATTATTCTTTAATGTTTTATTGACTTGTAATTGATATAAACAAACAGCACATATTTAAAGTATAGAATTTGGAAAGCTTCGACATATCTATACAACTACAGCCGTATCACCACAATCTAGAAAATCCATCACCTCCAGGTATTTTCTCTTTTTCCTTCTTAACTCCCCTCTCTTCTTGCCCCAGTCCCCAAGCTTAGCCTCCAAGCAACCCTAATCTGCTTGATAACACTGTAGGTTAGTTGACATTTGTTTTTGTTTTTGTTTTGACTTTTATATAAATGGAATCATACAGTATATACATTTCCTTGTCTGGCTTCTTTCAGTCAACATAATTATTTTGAGATACATTCATGTTGTGTCATATGTTAATTGTTCACTCTTTTCTATCACTGAGTAATATCCCATTGTATGATGCAACACTTTTTGTTATTCATTCACCTGTTGATGGACATAAGTTGGCGCTACTGCAAATAAATATGATATAGACATTTATGTGCAAGTCTACGTATGGAGATACTTTCATTTTTCTCTTTGGTAAATACTCAAGACTGAAATGGCAGACAATGTTTCAACGTCAAGAAATTGCCAAACTATATTCCAAAGTGATTGTACCCTTTTACCTCCCCTAGTGTATGAGAGTTCCTTTTCCTCCACATACCCTCCAACACTTAGTAATCATTTTAATTATAGTCATTCTCATACAGTCATTTTAATTATAGTCATTCTCACTCATTCTCATAAGTGTGTAGTGATATGTCATTGCAGTTTTAATTCATCTTTCTCTAATAACTAATGATGTTGAGCATCTTTCCATAAGCTTGCTTCCCATTCATATAATTTGTTTAATAACCTGGGTTGTTTACTTTTGTTATTGTTGAGTTCTTAGAACTTTTTATATACTCTGACACAAGTCCTTGAATTTACATATAATTTGCAAATATTTTCACTTACTCTGTCTTGTCTTTCATCCTTATTAATGCTGTTCTGGAAGAGCAGAGCTTTTAAATAATTTGCTCCTTGGTAGATTTTGATTTAAACAAATATTTGCCTAACTAAGGCACAGAAGTTTTTTTCCTTATGTTTCCTTCTAAAAGTTTTATAATTTTAGACTTCATATTTAGGTCTATGATACATGCTGAATTATTTTTATATAGTATGAAGTATGGACTATTTGTATATGAATAGCTAGTAATTCCAACACCTTTCTTGAAAAGACTTACCTTTGTAGAATTACCTTTGTATTTCTGCTGAAAATCGGTTGTTCACATATGTGTGCACCTATTTCTTGACCATTTCTTCTGTTCCATTGACAAATTTATCTATCTTTGTACTAATGCTGTACTGACTTTACTTCTGTAGCTTTATGAGTCTTGATATCAGAGAGTCTTAGTCCTCCTGCTAGATTCTCCTTTTCAATGTAATTTTTGCTACTTTAGTTTTGTCCATTTCTATATGAATTTGTGTTTGTCAATTCTCACACAAAAAAAAGTCAGTTAATATATTGATTGGCATTGCATTATAAGTATAGATCAACTTGAGGAGAACTGGCATGCTAACAATGTTGTATCTTTCCAGCCATGAATACTACATATCTCTATAATATAGGTATTTTTCATTCCCCCTAACATTTTACATTTTTCAGCTTTATTCACATCTTCTGTAAGTTTTGTCTCTAGGACATATTTTTGATGCTTTTGTGAAATATATTTTTCTTATTTTCAATTGCTTGTTGCTAGTTTATGAAAATACAATTGATTCTGTATATCGATTTTTATCTTGAATCTTGCTATTATTGGTTCTAGTAACTTTTTAAAATATTTTGTCTGATTGCCCACATGAACAGTCATGTTAGTTTCATGTCTTCTTTTTCAGAAGACTCCTTGTAGAGGCTTTATTAAATTTTATTTTATTTCATTTTGTTTTTTTGCCTTGTTTCACTGGGTAACATCTCCAGTATAATACCGAATAGAAATAATAGGAGCGAATATCCTTGTTTTGTTCCTCATATTAGGAGAAAAGCATTACGTCTTTCATCTTTAAGTATGATGCTAGCTGAAGTTATCTCACAGCTGTTCTCTATCATTTTGAGAAACTGCATTTCTATTCCTACTTTCCTGAGAATTTTTATCAGGAAAGAGGGTAGGATTTTGTCAATGCTTTTTCTGAGACAGTTTAAGAGCATTTATTCTTTATTTTGTTAATATACTAAATTACGTAGATTGGTTTGAAAGTGTTAAACCAATCTTACATTCCTGGGATAAATCTCATGTGGTCATGAGGCATTACTCATTTTATATACTTTTTTTTTTTTTTTTTTTTAATGCGACGGAGTCCTGCTCTGTCGCCAGGCTGGAGCACAGTGGCACGACCTAGGCTGACTGCAACCTCCACCTCCCGGGTTCAAGTGATTCTCCTGCCTCAGCCTCCCAAGTAGCAGGGACCACAGGCGCATGCCACAATGCCGAGATAATCTTTGTATTTTTAGTAGAGACGGGGTTTCACCATGTTGGCCAGAATGGTTTCAATCACTTGGTCTCGTGATCACCCTGCCTCGGCCTCCCATGATTTTATATACTTTTGCATGCTATTTGCAAAACTTTTGTTTTGAATTTATGTGTCCATGTGCATAAGGTATATTGGCTTCCAGTTTTTTCTTTTTTCATAATAACTGTGTTTGGTTTCGGGTTATTACTGGCTTCATAGAATGAGTTGTAGTTTTTCTTCTTTTCGATTTTCTGGAGGATGTTATGTAGACTTTGGTATTATTTCTTCCTTAAATGTTTGATAGAACTCTTCAGTAAATGATACGGAGTTTGCCTTTCAAATTTTTAAATTTCATATTAGTAATTTAAAATATGGGCATACATTTACCCATAATATTCCCTTATTATCCTTTTCCTGTCTGTAATACCTGTTGTAATGTTTCCTCTGTCATTTCTGGTACTGATAATTTGTGTATTTTCTTTCATTTTTCTGATAAATTTGGATAGCTGTTTATTAGTTGATTGATTTTCTTTTTTCCATGTTTTACTGTTAACTTAGTTGTGCCTTCATTTTTAATGTGTGTTTCTTGTAGGCAGCATGGAATTGGGTCTTGACATTTATAAAGAATGACAAGCTCTGTCTTTTGGTTTGCTTATGTAGACCATTAAATGTAATGTGACTATTGATATGGTTAAATTTAAATCTATCATCTTGTTGTTTGTTTTCTATTTGTTCTCTGCTCTTTTTCTCTTTTTCTTAGTTGGATTAACTGATTTTTAAAAAATTAATCCAGTTCTTCTCCTCTACCAGCCTACTTTCTTTAACTTTTTATATCGTTATTTTAGAGGCTGCTCTAAAGTTTATGTTATTCATCTTTAACTTACCACCATCTACCTTCAAGAGATATACCACTTCAATTAGAGTTTAAGTCTTACGATAGCATACGTCCATATCTGCACTCCTGATCTTTGTGCTATTGTAGTCATACAAATTAAACATGCTATAAATTCTACTCTACATTACTAACACTTTTCTTTAAACAACTATATAGAAATTTGGCTAAAAAATCTTATGTATTTATTTACACTTATCATTTCCAGAGGTCATCCCTTTGTGTAGTTACATATTTCTTTCTGGTGTCATGTTCCTTCCTCCTTCTTTGTGTGCCTGGTAATGTTTATTTTATCACAAACATTATGAGTCCTAATTTACTGTGTGCTGGATATTTGCATACTCTTAACATTCTCAAACTTTGTTCTGGGATACAGTTCTTAAATAATTTACTTTAGAAAACTTGTAAGTGTCCATTTATTCTCTGACCCTTCAGGGTGTAAATCTTTTAAAAAGTCTCTTGACAGTTTTACAGCACTGGAATATCTTTCTCAAAAACCCAGGAGCCATCCCTTTGAAATGTCATCATCGAGGAAGATAGTACCCCATCATCTCCCAGTCTTTGGCTGGGTGGGAGCTTAAGTTGTAGGCACTGTGCTGGAATTGTAAAATGACTAGAGAAAGTTTACTTTCCCTTTGGTACTTTTCCTTGCTGGTTGGTAAAGCCAACTAGCAAACATAAGTGGGCCCATGCTTTTCTCACTACAGCACTTGAATGTCCTACTCAGTACTGCTCCCGCTTGCCTATGCCAATTGTCTTGAATAAAGCCTCCCTTGTCCGTTTAACTGTGTGCAGTTTTTGCTTTGACACTACCGTAATGAATATGCATTCTTCTCTGACCTAAAGGAATCTAGATTTAAATACTTAAGTATTGACATCCAATGCAACTCCTTTTCCAAGAGATCAGTGTCCCACAATCAAAAGCTCAATGGTTTGGAAGATGACAGAAATAAGCTCTAGGATCTTCTACTATAACTTCTTACGACCTTAGAAAAGTTGCTGAGACATTTGATAAAGGGTATTTTTATCTGAAAGACGACACGTTTTGGTAACAAGTCCTCTTTATTTGCCTGTGAATTCTGAATGTCTTTAATATTATTCTTGCAGGAGTTCTTGTTGATTTATTTAGTTGAACCCAGTGCATATATGATTTTATCAGTTAATTCACATTAATTTTATGTACATGACATAAGAGACTAGGCTTTTTTTAAAGCCTAATGGACATTTCCAAAATTACAACAGGAAATGAATTAAAGAGACATATTTTCTGAGGGTGAAAACAAGGAATAATTTTTCCTCTACCTATAAAGCAGCTGCTATCACCATTTGCTGATTTGCAAATCATTATCGAATGCTTGAGCAAATCTTTTTACTTGTTGACACTGTGCAAAATCAGCTTTGAAACTGCCTATAATTGTTGGAGTCATGATTTGCTTTTTTAAATTTCAGTGTAGAAAAGGATACAATTAGTAGTATAAATTACACAACATATTTTATGGTACTTTAAAAACGTATGTTGTAATTTAAGTTCTTATGTAAAACAGAAACAAAAAAATTCTATTGTATATAGTATATGTGATATTGAACAATATAATTTCTGTAACTCCATTTTGTTTCCTGATATGTTTTGACCAGGAAGTTCAGAATCACATAGAACATACAACTGGGAACTTGAAATTAGCATGTGATACCTGCAGCACCAAAACTTTCATCAGGATACACCTGGAAAGAGAAATCGCTAACCTGATGAGCATTTCCTAGGTGCTAGCTTAGTGATTCCCAAACTGGCCATGCATTTTAGAATTAATCAGAGGTCTCTGAAAACTTCCAAAGCCCAGACCACAACCCACACCAATTAAATCACAATGTTTTGAAGTGAAACCCAACTTCAGTGTTTTTTGAAGCTCCCCAGCATGTTCCAAGGTGTAAACAAATGTGAGAACCGCTGCACTGAACTCTGTATTAAGAACTCTTCGTGCATGATTTCATGGGAATTCTCACAACCACCCTATGAGGCACACATCCTTTTGTGAACTATAGTCCATGATACTACAATGAACAAAGTACTTGGAAACAAAATTACTTTTGGCAAATTCAACTGGGTGAAAACATAAGACGAATGAAGAGGGAAGTGATTTTAGGAAAAAAAAAAAAAAAAAGGAAATACAGCACATCACTCTGCCTCCAATCTGGACCAACTGTGGGAAATTTGAAATTCCCAGTAATCTGTTGGGAAAAGGGACTTAAGGTTATCTCTCTGCTATGTCTCCAAGATCTAGATTATGGCAATGTTCAAAAAGACACACATCTATAAGAATTCCAGCCTCGGATCCCAGCACTTTGGGAGGCCGAGGCAGGCAGATCACAAGGTCAGGAGATGGAGACCATCCTGGCTAACATGGTGAAACCGCGTCTCTACTAAAAATACAAAAGATTAGCCAGGTGTGGTGGCGGCTGCCTGTAGCCCCAGCTACTTGGGAGGCTGAGGCAGGAGAATCATTTGAACCCGGGAGGCAGAAGTTGCAGTGAGCCAAGATCGCACCACTGCACTCCAGCCTGGGCGACAGAGCAAAACTCCAACTCAAAAGCAAAAACAAAAACAAAAAAGAATTCCAGCCTCATCCAAAGGGGAATTGTGTAGCAGCGTTCCATCGAAGCACAATGAGAAGAAAATCCTCTCCTGGTTCTTATCAAAAGCCTGGATGTGTAAATAACATTCACAGACAACAATCTGAAAGATATGTAGGCTTCCATGCTATCAATCTAGATTTTTCCCTAAATGAGGAGAGCTGACCCACTTGAACACTGTTTTTGACCCAGTGAGATTGTTTTCACTGGATTGTATCTTAACACGGGATTTTCAGCTTCCACTGACAGATATTATATGGCATATGTGTAGTATGCTTTGTAACCTAATATAGGACTCAGTGTATATCTCAGGGACAATTACACAGCAGTGATTTCTCCCCAGTTTGGTGATGATAAAATGCTGTGTTTTCTCTTACGAAATAGTATGTTTTTACCTTATTGACAATATAATATCTGTAACTCCACTTTTTTCCACTTTTATATATATATATATATATATGTGTGTGTGTGTGTAGAAATAGTTATGAACTACTTATCAGGCTTTAAAATCAAGAAAAATTTTACACACACACACACACACACACATATATATACACACACATATCTAAACATTGTTTATATTTTTCAAATGCATTTCCATAAACATATATATGTGTGTGCGTGTGTGTATGTGTGTATATATATATATACATATATATATATATACACATATATATTTTTTTTTTTTCTGAGATGGAGCCTCAATCTGTCGCTCAAGCTGTAGTGCAGTGGCACGATCTTCACTCACTGTAACCTCTGCCTCCTGGTTTCAAGCGATTCTCTCGCCCCAGCCTCAGAAGTAGCTGGGATACAGGCGCTCACCACCACACCCGGCTAATTTTTTGTGTTTTTAGTAGACACATGGTTTCACCATGTTGGCCAGGATGGTTTCAAACTCCTGACCTCAAGTGATCCACCTGCCTTGGCCTCTCAAAGTGCTAGGATTACAGGTGTCAGCCACCGCGCCTGTCCCTCCCTATATATTTTGACTAGGAAGTTCAGGGCCATATGTGTGACACTTTTTAGAAACTGATAAATCTAAATGTGCAAAATCTTATATACTAATATTCCCTGTGACCTAATATTACTATCTTTAGTTATCATTACCATTCCAATTTTTTTATTTTTAACTTGTTAGATGTATTTTACAAGTTGCTTTGTTGCTTATAAATACATTTAAGATATCTATTCCTATGACCCTTACACCCTGTCTATCTCTAGCTGTGAAGTTTCTGACAACAACACATAAGGTCAAACACAGTTTCACTTGTAACAACGTCACTTTCACCCTAGCAAGAGAATATTTGTGGCATTCAATAAAAAGCACAGCATAGATACAGAGTACAAAAATATGACAAAGCAAGATGAAAAACTTACACCATCCCACACCGGTGTTAATCTTGAGCTAAATGTTAATCCTACTCTACAATTCATGAATTACAGAACATGTGTACTGCTTCCATTCTGAATGCTAACAACCAAAAAAGTGTAGATAGGCCAAGTTCAGCACTTAACCTACCATATGTAGTGGCTTAAGTTCTAGAAAAAGATTGGCTTTAAAATTTGAGTGACGTACATTGTTGAATTTAAATTTCAAATGATTAAAGTTTTCTGCAGTTTCACTTTCTTTGTGAGAGATACATTTCAAACATGCAATAGCACATGGAGCATCCTTGAGTCTACAAACACCAATGTCTTTGCCCACAAAGAAGTTTACTTCTCTCTGTTGTTCTGGTAACTCCTTTTCACGGAAAGTATTTATTCACCAAAGGATACAGTTTCCCTGACAGACTGGTATACAGAAACATAGGAAAGAGTGTTCTGTTAGAAGGAACTCGTTGAGGGAAGGCGCTATGTCTTCTTCACAGTGAAGCCTCCACCCCATCCCTCCCCACAGATCTCTTTACCGGTGAGAACTCACCCTTGCTAGCAGCTGCCACCAGCATGGAGAACAGAGCTTGGTCAAACAAAGGCACTAAATGAACATTTGCTTAATGACTAATGAGACAATCCATGTACCCAGCACTAAACAGCTATTTAATATTTACTTAATATGCTGAAAAACATTACTTTATCACCAATTCTAAAGAGTAGTGCTTTATCATTTTATCTAACTACTACATTACTTTCTTTCATCCACATCATCTAATATTTTCTTACATTTTAACAAAGAGAGTTTATTATGTTCCAGGCTCAGTGACAGGTATTTTACAGGCCAATCACCTTAATCCTAGTAACATCATCATTTACATTTAGAATACAGGAAAATAAAGGCTTAAAAATATGCAAAATCTTGCCTGAGACTACACCACAAGAACACCAAAGAAAAGCCCAAAGTTTTGAGAAAAGTTCAATCCCAAGACTCAAAACTCTCTCCCTACATATTTTTTATTGTCTCAGACCTCTTAGGGATGAAACTTTCCATATTTTTAAACCAAAAAGCTATCTATGATTTTAAGAGATATATTTTTCTAAAAATATTCATCATATCATGAACTAGTTATCAGGCTTTAAAATCAAGAACAATTTTACACACACACACACACACACACACACACACATATATACACACACATATATATCTAAATATTGTTTATTTTTTTCAAATGCATAAATTTGATTCCATTTCTTTATAATTTGGGGATGATGTCATGCTATCATCTTTTGTCCTCTGTTGACCTCATATTTATAGCTCTGAAGTTTCTTTTCCTGTCGCGGCTAGGTGCGTACTTTCATGTTCTCATATGCTACCTCCATTCTACTCTATGTCTTTGCATTTTTATGTTAGTTTCAAAAGATTATTTTGTATTTGTTTCTTTAAAAATTGTGCCTGCTGGCCGGGTGTGGTGGCTCACACCTGTAATCCCAGCACTTTAGGAGGCTGAGGGGGGTGGATCACCTGAGGTCAGGAGTTCAAGACCAGCCTGGCCAACATGGTGAAATCTCGCCTCTAATAAAAATACAAAAAATTAGTTGGGCGTGGTGCCATGGGTACCTGTATTCCCAGCTACTTGGGAGGCTGAGGCAGGAGAATCACTTAAACCTGGGAGGTGGAGGTTGTAGTGAGCCAAGATCGCGGCATTGCACTCTAGCCTGGAGGACCGAGTGAGACACCGTCACAAAAAAAAAAAAAAAAAAAAAAAAAAAAAAAAAAAATTGTATCTGCTTGCATTTGGTGTATTTCACCTTAAATTTCTGTCAGAGAGACTTTTGCTTGATCTTGTAAACCAGATTTTATCACCATTTCGCCTAAGTTAGGTTTTGCCAGCTGCATCCCAACTTCCACTAGGCCTGAAACAAGTCTTCAAATCTCACTTTCCTTTGCATTCTATGCTATGAAATACCTTTCTTTAATAAAGTAAAGCTTGGTGGGCCATCTGTATTTCTCAAACACTAAAGAAGACCGATAAATTGATGACGGATTTCCTGCCATCAGAGTTTACAATTTTTTGTTTTGTTTTGTTTTGAGATGGGGTCTCAGTCTGTCACCCAGGCTGGAGTGCAGTGGCACGATCTCAGCTCACTGCAACCTCTGCCTCCCAGGCTCAAGACATTCTCCCATATTAGCCTCCTGAGTAGCTGGGACTACAGGCATGTGCCACCACGCCCAACTAATGTTTATATTTTTGATACAGACTGGGTTTTGCCATGTTGCCCAGGCTGTTCTCAAACTCCTGAGCTCAAGTGATTCACCTGCCTCAGCCTTCCAAAGTGCTAGGATTATAGGTGTGAGCCACCACACTCAGCCAAGTTTACTATTTTCTTACAGAGGCAAGGCATATATGAAAAACAATGGAAAATATTAAAAATTATGAATACACTAAAAGGCATTAACTTGAATATCATCAAGCATATCATCTCAGGTAACATCAAAAACAAATTTTAATTACTCCTAATTCTTGTCATTAAAAAGTTAAACATGTATGACTGTAATACTCACAAATTTCATCCCAACAGGCAGATGTTTTTGGAATTGCTAAATTTCATCTTCAATGTATTTATATTAAACTATCTGCATCTATAATTCAAAAACCAGGATCCAGGAAATTTGTAGCCATTAAAAATTAAAGAATCTACAAGGATGGGAAGTAATGTACAAGGCTTACATAATCTCTTTTGGAAATTTTAATGGATATGCCTTATTATGTCTTTCTGCTACAGTTGTTCAGTGTTGCTTTTTAATGTAAACTGCTACCTTATTTTCTCCCCTGAGAAAACTTTACTTGATGTAAATAAAGCAACCTTGGCCATAAACTGCATTTTAGAAAATGTTTTCTAACTGCACTTGAATCAAAGGCACTGTTATTAATACCACATATGAATTCGAAGCTGTGCCTTTTAAATCAACCAATATTCTACACTAAAAAAGTTCTTCATTTCTTTTTCCTAAATATGTTAGACTGGTTATTAGGATATGAATAGACAGTGATAGCTTTGGGCAGGTGATGACAAGTAATCCTTAAAATGAAACAAGTGATTGAAAATGCAGCTTTGTGTTTTCCCTTTAGGGCATAGTAAATTTCGTAAATCTAGTTTCCATTTATTTATTTTGTATTTTTTCTCACTGTGTGTTAAATGCTAGTAATAACATATTTGTACAACCTTGTTAAATTTTAGGAATCATGCTTAAAATTATTACCTCAAGTATCCTTCATGACAAACTTAGGAAATAGGGAAACACTGATTTACCAATGCAGATACCAAAATTTTGAAAAGTAAAGTGATGGAGATCCTATCAGTGCAAAGAGATGAGGGCTTGTGCTTTCTGGTGGCAAGACATGGCCATGCAGTGGAATTCTTACCTGTGGTCTATGGTGGATGTAAGGAAGGAAACGATCACTAGCTTAAAATGAAATGTTTTGGCCTGACTGTGCTCTTTCCCTGATCCTAAGGACGGAAATTGAGCCAGATTTGATCACGAAGAACAGAGACGGTCCAGAGGAAGGCAGAGTAACAAGTAAGAAGGAATCTACTCATTAATCAGAGACCTGGGATACCCAAGTATTGACTTGACATCAGAAATAATCTCCCACATTTTGAGGGTCTAATTTTTTATTACATTTTTATGTTTGTCTTCATTGATATAGAAATATCTATCTATCTGTGTTAGTCTGTTTTCACGTTGCTGATGAAGACATAACCGAGACTGGTCAATTTACAAAAGAAAGAGGTTTAATTGGACTTATGGTTCCATGTGGCTGAGGAAGCCTCACAATCATGGTGGAAGGCACAGAGGAGCAAGTCACGTCTTACGTGAATGGCAGCAGGCAAAGAGAGAGAATGAGGAAGATGCAGAAGCGGAAACCCCTGATAAAACCATCAGATCTCATGAGACTTATTCACCACCATGAGAACATTATGGGGGAAACTGCCCCTGTGATTCAATCATCTCCCACTGGGTCCCTCCCCACAACATGTGAGGATTATGGAAGTACAATTCAAGATGAGATATGGGTGGGGACACAGAGCCAAACCATATCACTATCTATTAATAATCTGTCTCTCTATCTATCTTTTATCTATCCATGCATACTTGTGCTATCCATTCCCATCTTTAGTCTATCTCGCTTCTCAATTCTACCACCTACTCCCCACCATGCCTCATTACTGGACATCCAGATGCACAATAGCATTCCCTTTGCTCAACTTGCCTTGACACAATTCACCAAAAATCGGACTGCCCTACTAAATCTTAATTAAATATGGCTTGTATAAAAATTTCTTCCCTTGCTCAGAAATCTCCTACCAACTCATATTTGCTGTGGAATAGAGCACATTCCCTTAGCCTTTCACTGAAACTCCTCCTAATGTGAAACCCTTCTATCCTTGTTTAAATTTCCCCTCAGCCACTCAGTTCAAATCCCATCTCTTCTAACAAATCTTGCCCAATTAACTCAGCTTTAAAGTAAATCAGTTACATAATAGTTCACATTCCTTATTATTATCAGGATATATTTCAAAACTGAATACGTTGTCTTTTCACCTGTGTTAAGATGCTACCTAAACACAGTAGAATTTAGATTTGTTTTCACTTCTGTGAGTCACTGAGAGAAGAATCAACTGGTAAAATTTTCATGCCTACTGAAACGAACTGAGTTAATTCTTCAAGCTGCCTATGAGAAAAATCAAAGGGAAACCTGGCTTCATTTCGCAATAAGAATAATCATCAGCATGAAATTTCCTTAACCATTTAAACAATTTATTAAAAACTAAGATTGGAACTATATCCCTCTATATTCTCTTCTATCCCAACTTAAATCCAAGTGGCTTTTTGTTCATGTGGTCCAACTCACATGATGGTGTCAACTCACCACAGCCAATGTACATGATTCTATGAACAGGATGTGTATAAATATACACAGGAGAAACAAGCATGACAATTAATAGCTCCGCTTATAGCCCCAAAGAACGAGACCCACCAAATATTTTAATCATAGTGCATATTCTACTTAAAAATATAACAGCCAGATAAAGTATATTCTCTACTCAAACATCATTTCAAAAGGGAATGACATTAGGCTGAAGGTGGTGGCTCACACCTGTAATCCCAGCACTTTGGGAGGCTGAAGCAGGCAGATCATTGGAGGTCAGGAGTTCAAGACCAGCCTGGCCAAAATGGTGAAACCCCATCTCTACTAAAAATACAAAAATTAGCCAGGCGTGGTGGCTCATGCCTGTAATACCAGCTACTCAGGAGGCTGAGGTGGGAGGATCGCTTGAACCCAGGAGGCGGAGTTTGCAGTGAGCCAGGATCACGCCACTGTACTCCTGCACTCCAGCCTGGACAACAGAGCGAGACTCTGTCTCAAAAAAAAAAAAAAAGGAAATGACATTATTTGAAAATACAATTAAGACTGAAATGGATCATTTTTGCTGGACATTAGGGCTGCTGGTTATTGTCTCAAGGGACTGAATGCAAATACTACCATTACGTGACATATTGCCAAGTCCGTGGAGTTCAAAGATAGGCCAAGCCAGATTTCAATACTTGCTTTATGATTCGTTCGTTGTGTGATATACACAAATTATTTAATTTCACTGAACCTCAGTCTCATCATACAGAAAAATGAGATAACATATTTCTCAAAAGATTGTAATGAGAGTGTAATTGTATCAATGGGCTTTGGAGTCAACTCTACTACATTTCACAGTGTAAACAGCTTTGACTCCTCCCACGTGATATGCTATCTGGCAAATTATTCACTGTCTTCTACCTCCTCTCTCCTCATTTAAACAAGAGGCACAGTACTTCCTACCCTATTTAACTTCTGAGACTATTGTAAATGAACTAAATCGATCTAGGTAAAGCGTTAAGTGCAGTTATTCTTACATTGTAAGTGGTCAAATATATCACCTTTTCCATTGCTATAGAGAAAACTAAATCATAGCACTTTTTTAATCTTTATTTTGAAAATTCTAGATATAATTCAGGGGTGGGTGACGATAATGAATACAACAGAAATATTCACTTATTTGGCCCGTCCTACCACTATAAGCAGCAACTGCTACTGATCGTTCAAACTTTTATTAGCATTTACTATGTGCCATTTTGCTATATGGCATATACTTGGTTAAAAAGCAAATTCCGGAGACAGAGGAAGTAGTTGGAATCCCAATTTAGCCACCTATTAGCTATTTGGCCTGGAGTAAGTCATTGAATCATTTGGGTTTGGTTTCCTCATCTATAAAAACTGATAATACAAATACCTCAAGGGGTTGTTCTGGGGATTCAATGAGTTAATACATGTTAATAAGATTTTGAGAACATTGTAAGTATTATGTACCTGCTGGTGCTTATTTCATTGTATTCGGTGCTGTCACTCCTTTTTTTTTTCTTTTTTCTTTTTTTTTTTGAGACAGGTTCTCACTCTCTCGCCCAGGCTGGAGTGCAGTGGTGTAATCATAGCTCACTGCAGCCTCCAACTGCAGGTTGAACTGGTAGGCTTAAGGGATCTTCCTGCCTCAGCACACCAGGTGGCTACGGCAATTGGCACACACCACCACATCTGGCTAATGTATTTTTATTTTTTTTTATTTTTATTTTTTGGAGACAAAGTCTCACTCCATCACCCAGGCTGAAGTGCAGTGGTGCGATCTTGGCTCACTGCAAACTCTACCTCCTGGGCTTGAGTGGTCCTCCCACCTCAGCCTCCAGAGTAGTATTTCTTAATTTTTATAAAAGTGGAGTTTTGCTAAGTTGCCCAGGCTGGTCTCACACTCCCAGCCTCAAACGCTCCTCCTACCTTGGCCTCTCAAGGTGCTAGGATTACAGATGTGAGCCACCGTGCCCAGCCTTGTCACTAATTGTTAAATATCCACAATATTCCTTTGAGGTGAATTCTCACAACCATTTTTACAGATGATGAAGTTGAGGCTAAGGAGGCTCAGTGGCTTTCCTAAAACTAGACAAGTAGCAAAGGAGGGTACTGGGCCCTGGTTTTCTACTGCCTGAGCTCCTCCATATTTTACTATATCATAATAAAGCCCAACTGCATTCTATATCTATTATATCTTTTGAGTACCTTTATATATTCAACTATATACAATTATGTTTTATTATAAATGTACCACAAACTCTTATTATCTCAGGTTGTTTCAACCAATACTCGCTTTTAATTTAGACTTATACCCAATCAGTACTTAACATTTATAAAGATGTACTAAAGTGGAGTGAAATTGGAATATTTAGCTGAATGGCAGTGATTCATCAAAATTAACTTGAAAGACATCTTTACTCTTTTATTACAGAAAATACAACCACACACATAAATATAGAGAGCGCTGTAGTATAATGGACCCACATGTACAATTATCAACCCAGAGCCACTACTGTTTTATCCATACTCTCCAATCCTCTCAAATTATTTTGAAGTAAATTCCAGACAGCAAAACATTTCATCTGCAACCATTTCAGTATGAAATAGTGGCAATATGATGAAACATAACAGCAATTCTATTATTATACATAGAACCATAAAAACTGTAGCATATCAACAAATCACAAGTCAGTATCTACATTTCCCTGATTGTCTTATGATATTTTAAAGTACTTGTTTTAAACCAAATAAAAATTCATTTTTAGAGATTATTTTTATGTCTCTTAAATCTCCTTTAATCTATAGATTTTTTTTCCTCTCTATTTCTTATCTGATATTGTTTTATAACAAAATAGGCTTTTTTCCTTCTATAAAGCGTGCTATAGTCTGGATTTTGTTGCTGCAACCACACAATATCATTTAACAGGTTTTTCTGACCATTGTATATCCTGTAACTTTGGTCATTCGATCCAAATGCTTGGTTATATTCAGGCATGATTTTCTGGCAATACATATCTTTTGAATAATGTAATATGAAAAATTTGACCGAGGTTTCTAATTTATGTAATGTTCTTCCAAGACACTTTTAATCATTGAGCTACAATTAAATTACTTTGGCAGGGTATATTTATATTTTTAGTTTTCTGTGTAGTGTAGTTTAGCATTTTGTGTTTTGGGACGTTTTCAATAGCAATTTTGTTGCTGTAGTTGACACAGAGATTTTGATATTCTGGAGTACTTGTGCCACCTTCATAACTTTTTTTGTGGATTTTTCTGGGCCACAGTATCTGTAGATTCCAACAACAACAGTAATAATCCTTGTTTTTCTTTAAAAATATCACGATGCTTTATTAAACTGACGGTACCCTGATTTCTTTACTGCCAAGCTCTGTTTATTTGAAGGCAAGCCAATACCCAATGGTCAAATACGAAAGAATGACATAAATATTCTTGAAGGATTTAGAGTTTGAAATGAATACATTTGGATGCTTATTGTTGTCTCCCTTCTCACTTCCTAGATGAGCAAATTTTACTGAAATTAAAGAAAACTGTATCAAGGTGCCTTTTTTTCTATATTATCCCTTAGAATGGAGAGAATAAAGCATCCAAAATCATAAAATGTCACTGAAGCTGGTGACAGCATTGGTATACTCTCATGCCCCGTTTTATACATGAGAAGGCATATTTTCATGCTTTCTCTGACGAAAGGAGAAAGAAAGGCATTGCTCTGTTTCCTACACTCAAATAACACACATGAAGTCACTTTATTTCAGGCAACTTTCCACTAAGAGGCAGAGCAAATGAGACTAAAAATTTATGAGAAAACCAGGGGCTAAAATGCCCAGAGATTCAGAGTCTGACCTCAGTGCCTTGAATTAGAATTCAAAGTAAACAGAAAGCAGTTCAGAATGCAGGATGTGTGCTTAATATATTCCATTCAGTTCACTGCCAGAAATGAATTGTTGCATTGTGTGCAAGTCAAAGCATCCAGGAGTAATTCAAGGATGGGCTCAAGTAGAGGGCATCACAGTAGTCCATTTAGGACATCAGAAAAACAACACAGGCTATATCTGCAAGGCCAGGTAGCTGAAGAACATTCTGTGAAACACCAATGAACATCTAGACTTACTCATTGAATATTTAGTTTTTTAGGACTAGGATTTTAGAAACAATAAATCTTTAAGTCAAAAGGCAAATGCCTTGTTTTCAAAGGAAATGAATGTGGCAGAAAACAGATGAAAACTTTCAGAATTGGTCTTTGGTGTGGGCTCCAATTACCATGAAATTCTGAAATAACTAGAGATGGGGTTATTGAATTAGTAACCACTCGTTAAATATGAGCAATATGTACAAGTATGGAACATTTTTAAGTTTGATATTATGCATTACAGTAAATTACACTAAATATATGAACAATATATACATGTATGGCACATTTTTAAGTTTGATATTATGCATTACAGTAAATTACAGTAAATATGTGAACAATATATACAGGTATGGAACATTTTTAAGTTTCATATGCATTACAGTAAATTCCCTAAATATATGAACAATATATACATGTACAGAACATTCTTAAGTTTGATATTACACATTATAGAAAACTCTTAATATAGCAAACTGGTAATTACCACTAAGGTTCTTACAGTAAATTGTAGAAAAGATAATTTACTTCGGCGCACACAAAATATCTCTAAAAACCCAGCTTTTAAATGGAAGGCAATTTGACTGATACGCACAGCATTTTCACCATTGACTGGTACAATAAATAGCTTTGAGATTTTTGGTTATCACATTTCAAATCCCCAGCAGTAATTGAACAAATTAGAAGGGATTTGCTCTTGGTAAAGTATTTGATCTTAGGTAAATTATAATTTCCTTTCGAACAGGTAGAAATCTGAAATAGTATTTTAATGTTAAATTATATATATATGCCAATTACACATTTAGACTAAGTGTTACAATATTCAATGTTTTAAAATTTTATACAACAGTTTTAAGAGACTTCTAGGTTGAGACCTAATTGGAGAAAATGTTCTAAGTGCAAGATTATCTCTCCTGACCTGGTTCTTCTCCATGTAAAAGTGAGCTGGAGAAGCCTAAGGCAAACTTCTGTGACCTGTCAATTTAATAATAAAAGTTTGTTATCTATTTGAGTTTTCCATAAATTGCCACTGTATTTTTGTATGTGGGATAATGGATTAAAATTTTGTTATAAATACTCAGTAAGGATTAAATATAAAATGTTCTTAAAACGTAATTGTGGAAAAAATTAAAGGAGGAGAATAAAAATGGCTAATTTATATATTTTAATTGAGATTCATCATAATATAATTTCCCTGAAATGAATTTAAAAGATTTTTAAATTAACTATTACATGTCTGAAGTTCAAATTTAACTATTTGTTCTGCATAAAGACAGTATAGCAAAGAAGAAACATTATTTAAAATTACTATAATTAGAAAACTGTTTACCACAGTGATTCTGTGATTTCTGAAGTTATCTTTTTGCATATTTAAGTATTATAAAATAGCACCAAAAAGTACATTATAGATAAGAATGAAATATACTGTATAAAAGTAGAGATACTGTGGCACTACATCAAAACACTAAAAATTTCCAACAAAACTTATCCAGGAGAGGAAATATTCAAAACAGAAATGAATTCATTTCAAATATCAAAATAACTTTTGTACAGACAGGAAAATAATAGGCCTTCTTCTATATAAATCCTGTTATTGTTTGTGATGCATTTTATAGTATCAGTTTTTCATTTTTGTGCCAATAACTGATCATCTTTCTGCTGTGAAATATTGTACTCACTGTATTAAGCAAATACTGTAATAGTTGTTGAATATTTTACCTGACTCTGCACAGAAATCCCACTAGTAACTTTTCTTATTAGTATACTTTCATCTTCCACTTACATACCCAGTCATCCTTCTCCAAAATATTAGTAGAAGTATTCCAAGAATCTTTTGGGAAAATATTCTTTGATCCTGGGCATCTTTACTGGAAGAAACTTACCTGCATTATTAATGAACACAATGTAATTAAATCTAAACCATTTACACTTTTAATTTGAAGTTGTATTGCTTCATAATTAACCCAAACGGAGGAAAAGGTAATTAATTTTTCAGGCAACAATTTCATTGCATAAAGTTACATATCAATTAATACGTGTATTAAATTGCCAGTAGTGTTTTGAAAAATTAATTTGCTCCCAAACTTTCAGAGCAGCAGAAATTTTGTCAGTGTCGTCTCAATGTCAAGTAATTCACAAGTAAAACACAGAGTGAATTTAATTACAATAATCACTATGAATATAATTATGATTCTATTTAACATTTCTTATTTGAGCCTACCATCCTCATGTTTAAGGTATAACCAGATAGGCCCTGGAATGCACAATAAGTTTTCCAGGAGTGAAATGGTGATTTAAAATATATTGTTTTGGAGGATATTTAGGGGATACATCTCATTCTTTAGAAAAATACAGTATCTGTGATATCCAAACAGTATAATATTCATTTAGTAATATTAACAAAAATCAATCATATCCAATATAAAGGTATACAAATACTCCATCTTCTAAAAAAACTCTGAAAACAAAGGACAAACATGCTAAGAAAGTCACCCACATTCCCCATCATATAAGATATACCATACTTTCTTTTTTTTTAAGATATACTATACTTTTTAAAGTCAATGGAGATTACATAAAACTAACTTCAACATCTCTTCCTTAGTGTTTCTATAGAAACTTGTATTTGCTAGTGCTGTCTTGACAAGCTTCTTTTATCTATATTATAAAATTCATTATTGGCCTAAATATGGATTGAGAATAGTGTTTTCCTTCCCTTTACTATAAGGTAGAAATGATTATATTTCAAATCGTCTTTTCATTTCTATGCAGCTGATGAAGCTATGCCTTTTTCTTAACATTTTCAATGCAGTACAACATATTAAAAAAAAACTGTTATTCTAATAGTTAGCCAAGGAATTCCTAAAAACGTTATTATATATATTGTCAATACATCTTAATAGAAATGTTTCCTTGTGAAAATACTGCATTCTGGGATAACGAAGGAAGCTATAACTATGCATTTTTTCCTAAGATATGTAGAAGAAAAATACCATTGAAATACTAAGAGAGAAAACTGCTACCCTCATTTATTTCTGGATATTTAAAGTTGCCCCACTGGCCCTCTAACAAATGAATCAATAACATTTGTGGGGAGGGGGGGCATTGATTACGAAGCCTGGAAAAATGAGTAATTGCTCAACTTAGTGATTCCAAAAACAATTTTGTATTTAATAGGCTCTTAAAAATGAAAAGCTATTTCATGGGACTCTAAGAGTGTGGATTTCTCTTAAGAATCCAGGGAATCAAGTTTGCACTGTAAACACTCGATGGGAGAAAAAAACCTCCCAGGACAGTAGAAACCCCAGTTAAGTTTATGGGATTCCCAGAGGAGAAGGGTCTGTGGACTACTTTTGAGTGGTAACTTGAAAGACACAAAATTATTAGGGAACACATATTCAAAATGGTGTCTGAGAGGTATGTCAGTAGTAATGGAGAAAATTACATAGGAGGATGATTGCAAGGGTCCCCATATCACTGTTCTGTACTCCCCAACAACGTACCAGAAAGATAAATAATTCATTAGCCGAGCGTGGTGGTGTATGCCTATAGTCTTAGCTACTCAGGAGGCTGAGGTGGGAGGATTGCTTGAGCCCAGGAAGTCAAGGCTGCAGTGAGCTACGATCACACCACTGCACTCCAGCCTGTGTGATAAAGCAAGACCAGTCCTCTAAATACTAATAGTAAAAAAATAAAGATAAGAGATTCATATGCCCTGAGAGGTCTATCAAGGTGGGTAAGCAACGTGCTCAGAGCAGAAGAGGCCTCAGGGATTCTTTCCTTTAAGGGAGCATGAATCATATGAAAATCATAAAATGACTAAGGAAAACCCTAAACTAATCATATGTCAGTACAGAAATAACCTAGTCACCCTCACTTGTCAAGGTTAGCTTTTCTGTCACGAGCAGAAATGAGTGTTCTTTAGTTAAGCAGAAAGAGAGATCGAAAATAAGAGAAATAGAGTTTCATCTTTTTCATATCCTGTTTTTGTTACAAAAACATCCATATCCATTACAGACATAAGTAGGAACCTGGAATTCTGGATGAACAATGAAGTGAAGGGAGGAGGAGAATGTGTGGTACAGAGACAAGTGAACTGTCCTGGGTTAGGAACTCTTCCTTCTACGTGTAGGGATGGCTGGTCAAAAGTACCGGGAGGTACGCATGACTGAGGCACTATTAATAAAATAGCTGCCTACATTTTAATTGTAAGCACTTTCCTTTGTTATTTGCTGATAACCAATGCCTTACCCTCCCAGTGCTAACCCAAAATCATGGTCAAACGTTGCCCTGCACACAGCCTGGTCTTCTGTTACTTTATAAAGTGAAGAAATTGAAGCAGTGGCAATTAACGCAACATGCTGCCAAAATCAAAGCCTCGTGCTTAGAGTAGAAAATCAAAAATATAAACCCAAAATTTAGTGTGATTTAGAGTAAGAGGCAACATAAAAAAGAAAATACCCTGCATATACCACATCCCTTTTAAAAAGTCCCTTGAGGCCAGGGTCCCTAATCCCCAGGTACCAGATCCCTGGCCTGTTAGGAACCAGGCCGCATAGGAGCTGAGTGGCAAGCAAGCCAGCCAAGCTGCATCTGTACTTTCAGCCGCTCCCCATCGCTGGGATTACTGCCTGAGCTCCACCTCCTGTCCCATCAACCACAGCATTAGATTCGTATTGGAGCGCAAACTCCATTGCCAACTGAGCATGCAAGGGATCTAGGTTGCATGCTCCTTATGAGAATCCAATGCCCAATGATTTGTCACTGTCTCTCATCACCCCTAGATGAGACCATCTAGTTGCAGGAAATCGAGATCATGGCTCTCACTGATTCTACATTTTGGAGAGTTGTATAATTATTTCATCATATACTATAATGTAATAATAATAGAAATAAAGTGCGTAATAAAGGCAAGGTACTTGAATCATCCCAAAACCATCCCAGTGCTAACTCGGTCTGTGGAAAAATTGTCTTCCATGAAAGTTGTCCATCCCTGGTGCCAAAAGGGCTGGGGACCGCTGCCTTGAGGTACAGGGAGAGAAAGGAGTGCAATTCAAATTTATTTAAATCTCAGAGGATCCTGTTACTCCCAACCCAGTCCCAGTCCAGCATATGATTTAGAGTTACCCAGGAGGGCAGAAATTGGGTTAAACTTAAAAATAATTCTTTGTCCTAACATTGCTTACACATGATTGTTTATTTGCATTGAAAAATGCAAAAGACTATTAAAAATACTGATCATTAAAAATTTTCATGAGTTTAAACCACTCATACCACTCCAAAACAAATATTTTTAACATTTTGGCAAGCATAAGGTTGTTATCCGTCATTTTTGTTTGCTTATTTTAAATCTTGTATGTGTATGATTTTCAGACATTAACATTGTTAATTGCATTCTCATTCTGGGGAAGGTCTTTATTCTCATTCCATTCAGAAACTAAACAGGCTCGATAGTAATAGGTACTTTGCTAATCAAAATATGATACAAGGACAAGCAGCATCAGCACCACCAAGGAGTTTGTTGAAATGCAAAGTGTTAGGCTCACTTCTGACCTATTCAGGCAGACTCTGCATTGTAACAAAATCTGCAAATGATGTGTATGAGCATTGGAGTTTGAGATGCCCAGGATAAAGACACTGCATATACCTAAATTCTAGGGCTTTGAGTGGCTCATAAATGTCTACCTTCGGCCCAGCTCAACTTTCATGTCATCTGGCCACGTGATGCTTTCCTTGAATATTATCAAAGCACTTATGCCCAGTATGTCCATAGCAAACTCACAAGTTTCTACTCCCCATATCTGGTCATCTTCTAGAATTCCTTGTGTTAGTGCAAGGAAACTAGTGATACCCTGGAAATTTACCTCTCACCCATCCTCCTCATCCAACCTACTCCCCAAATTAGCGTTTCCCTTAATACTTACCTCTCACCCATCCTCCTCATCCAATCTACTCCCAAATCTACTCCCCAAACTAGTGTTAATCTTGATGTTTACCTCTCACCCATCGTCCTCATCTAATCGACACACAAATCTACCCCCAAAACTAGTGTTATCCTTGATATTTACCTCTCATCCAATCTACTCCCAAATATACTCCCAAAACCAGTGTTACCCTTGAATTTTACCTCTCACCCATCCTCCTCATCCAATCTACTCCCAAAACTAGTATTGCCATTGATATTTACCCCTCACCCATCCTCCTCATTCAATCTACTCCCAAATCTACTCCCAAAACCAATGTTACCCTTGATATTTACCTCTCACCCATCCTCCTCATCCAATCTACTCCCAAATCTATTCCCAAAGCTAGTATTAATCTTGATGTTTACCTCTCCCCCATCATCCTCATCTAATCTACTCCCCAAACTAGTGTTATCCTTGATATTTACCTCTCATCCAATCTACTCCCAAATCTACTCCCAAAACCAATGTTACCCTTGCTATTTACCTCTCACCCTCAACTATTCAACTCCAAAACTAATGTTGGCATTGATATTTACCCCTCACCCATCCTCCTCATCCAATCTACTCCCAAATCTACTCCCAAAACCAATGTTACCCTTGCTATTTACCTCTCACCCTCAACTATTCAACTCCAAAACTAATGTTGGCATTGATATTTATCCCTCACCCATCCTCCTCATCCAATCTACTCCCAAATCTACTCCCAAAACCAGTGTTACCCTTGCTATTTACCTCTCACCCTCAACTATTCAACTCCAAAACTAATGTTGGCATTGATATTTACCCCTCACCCATCCTCCTCATCCAATATACTCCCAAATCTACTCCCAAAACCAGTGTTACCCTTGATATTTACCCCCCACCCATCCTCCTCGTTCAATCTACTCCCAAAACGAGTGTTACCCTTGATATTTACCCCCCACCCATCCTCCTCATTCAATCTACTCCCAAAACCAGTGTTCCCCCTTGATATTTACCCCTCCCCCATCCTCCTCATTCAATCTACTCCCAAAACTAGTGTTACCCTTGATATTTACCCCTCCCCCATCCTCCTCATTCAATCTACTCTCAAAACCAGTGTTCCCCTCAATATTTACCTCTCGCCCATCCTCCTCATCCAATCTACTCCCAAATCTACTCCCAAAACCAATGTTACCCTTGATATTTACCCCCCACCCATCCTCCTCCTTCAATCTACCCCCAAAACTAGTGTTACCCTTGATATTTACCTCACCCATCCTCCTCATCCAATCTACTCCCAAATCTCTTCCCAAAACTAGTGTTAATCTTTATATTTACCTCTCATACATCCTCTTCATACTATAATCTTCTCCCAAATATTATAAAATAGCTCTTGAATCCACCTTCTTCTATCTCCTGTCTTCCTTGAGGTTAGTCTGACAGCCCTTTAACTCACGAAGAGTAACCTTTGCCCATTATTCTTGTATGCCAGGTCTCTCCTACCACAAGTCCGTTGTATGTATTTTATTACTGCTGTATAAAATGTTCCTCCTTATCTGCTCATATATTCAACAAATATTTATTAAGCATCTAGGATGTACCCAAAAACCACAGGCTATTCTAGGAATGGGGCTTGAGCAGCAAAATAAGAGATGAAAATCTCTGGCCCATATAACACAAAGAAATCATGGGGCTGATATTCTGGTACTATCAAGATAGACCATAAATAAATAAATATATCATTTCAGAAGATGATGAGTGCTATGAAGAAAAACAAAGGAAATGAAACAGGATAGGAAATTCTTGGGCTGAAAGAGGGATACATACTCAAAATGTGATAGAGAATGGTCAGAAAAGTGCTCAATCAGAAAGCATAATTTGAGCAAAGACAAGAAGTAAGGAAGGGAGAGAGAATTCTAGCCGGGGCAGTGAGCAAAAGTCCTGAGGTAGAGATTGTGGATGGCAAGTTTGAGAAGGGTCAACCAGACCAGTGTACCTGGCGCAGCATGAATAGGCAGAAGAATAATAGGGACAAGGTCAATGTTAACAGACGCAAGATAAGGTAGGGATTTATGGGCCTCTGTTGGGATTTTTGCTTTTTCTCCACATGAGTTAGGAAGCCATCAGAGAGCACTTTGAATAAAGCGTCATATGACTTTGCTTAGATTTTAATGGTATGACTCTAGCTGCTGTGCTGGGGCCAGACTGTAAAGAAGCAAGGTCAGAAGGAGAAAGACCATTTGGTAGGATACGGCAGCAATCCAGCTGAGAATACATTGGGGGCTGGATGCGAGTCATGGCTGTGGAGGTAATGAGAAGTGATTGGGTTCTGAGTATATTTTAAATGCAAAGCTCATAGGACTTATCTTTAGTTCATTCATTTCTGTCTTTATTTAAATAAATTCCTGATCAATTTTACTTCCTTAGAAAAGCATTCTCTGATCTCCCCACATTTGGTCTCATCATGGGCTGTTACAGAACCATGGGCATCTTCATATGTATCTCAATTACAGTGGCGGTTCCACATTTATTTGTGTGATTGCTTTAAGATGCATGAGGGGGCTGGGCATGGTGGCTCCCGCCTGTAATCCCAGCACTTTGGGAGGCCGAGGCGGGCAGATTGCCTGAGCTCAGGAGTTCGAAACCAGCCTGGACAACACGGTGAAACCCTGTCTCTACTAAAATACAAACAATTAGCTGGGCATGGCAGCATGCGCCTGTAGTCCAAGCTACTGGGGAGGCTGAGGCAGGAGAATTGCTTGAACCCAGGAGGCGGCGGTTGCAGTGAGTCGAGATTGTGCCACTGCACTCCAGCCTAGGCAACAAGAGCAAAACTGTGCATCCAAAAAAAAAAAAAAGAAGAAGAAAGGGTAACCATGAGGGATGGACTGCTCATGGTAGATTAGGGGCGTGTGTGTATGTGTGTGTGTATACTCACTACATTCACAGCACCTAGAATACTGCATGGTCTACTCATCTGACTCAATGAGCATTTGTTGAGTGAATGGATTTATGTTCTATTTATACTATAAATTCAGAAAAAAATCTTCATTTTTAGATAACTCCCAGCTTCATTTCTCAAATATTATACACGTTTTTTCTTAAAATACTAGGCATATTGTGTTGACCCTCCCCAAAATGCTCTCCAAAACTGTCTGCCAACAAATTCCTCAACACCTTTCCTGCCAAACTATTTAGAAAATAATTTAACCAGAAAGCTTCCCCTAATATTATGTGTTGTTCTTCTGTTGGAGAAAATGCCAAAGAAAAAGGCATGCTGTGTTTCTTAGGACCATGAGAAATCTAACATCACTAGGACATACTGTTTGAAGTCCAGGGAGGTCTCTAGGAGAAATGCTTGCAGAAGTCAATAAAGGGAGTGCCATCAGAGGCCTTGGGGCCATGGTGAGGCATTTGGACAGGGAGACACTGAAGTATATTTATCAGGAGATGATTTGGTTTTATTTCTGCTTTGGAAAGCTCACGCTGGTAGCTCTGTGCAGGATGGATTAGAAGTATGGGAGACAAGAGACAAAGAACTAATAAATGAATGAAGAAGTGTGGGGATGATGACCTGATCAAAGATGACGGTGGAAAAGAGAAAGGAAGAGAGAAAGTAAAACTCCATTAATGGTTGGTTAGGTCTTGGGAGACGATTAATAGGGATGGGTTCAAGGAGTTTTCCCAGATGGTTGCAGGTTTCTATTTCAGATATTTGAAAGGACAGTGGTGTCATTAACTAAAGTACCAGGAGTTAGGACCACATCTAGAGAGCTGGTTAGTGAGATCAGTTTTGGGCATGTTAATTTTGGGGTTCATCCAAATGGGAAACTGCCTCTTTATATATTCATGTCATAATGCACAGGGAATGCAATGACCATTCACTTGAGAGAAAGGAGGCGTGTCCTTAGAGAATGCTGACCTCAGTCCCTTATCCTTCCTTAAGTTCAGCGTCTTCACATGTAAAATAGCATAATAACAACTGTATCTTAAAGCATTTCACACAAAGTGTTAAGTATCAATATTACTACTAAAATGTAGGGCTCTAAAATATCTAATATGCATTAATCTCACCAGAAAATATTTCTAGACTATCAGAGTTACATTGTAATCCTATGCTTTTATGGCATCCGTTTCTTACCTCTTAAGAGGTCAGCACCATTTTCTTTGCTTTTTTTTTGAGATGGAATCTTGCTCTGTTGTCCGGGGTGGAGTGCAGTGGTGTGATCTCGCCTCACTGCAACCTCTATCTCCCGGGTTCAGGTGATTCTCCTGCCTCAGCCTCCCGAGTAGCTGAGACTACAGGCGCCCGCCACCACGCCCAGCTAATTTTTTGTGTTTTTAGTAGAGACGGGGTTTCACCATGTTAGCCAGGATGGTCTGGATTTCCTGACCTCGTGATCTGCCCACCTCAACCTCCCAAAGCACTGGGATTACAGGCATGAGCCACTACATCAGACCACTTATTTGCTTTTATGTCAATGGTCATTACTGAGAAATACTAATCTATATAAAAATGCAGCATTCTGAACCGCATGAAACCATTTACAAAATTATTGAAAAGCATGTCTCTTTAACCATGCACCCTGACAACTGGTGCAACCAAATGAGGGGTGATGACAATGAAAGTTGTTGTAGCAGCCTGATGATATTTTATTTTGTTTTTGTTTTGTTTTGAAAGATGGTGTCCCTCCCTGTCCCCCAGGCTGGAGTGTAATGGTGCAATCACAGCTTACCGCAGCCTTGAACTCTTGAACTCAAGTGATCATTGAGCCTCAGCCTCCCAAGTAGCTGGGAGTACAGGTGCATGCCACCATGCCAGGCTCTGATGATGATTCTAATTGTCATTGAGGAAGTCAGATGGTGGAATTCAGAACTGACTCTACAGTTATAACCAAGAGGCTGTGTATTCTTCCAGTATTCTCTCAAAGTTCTAGATATGGTTAGCAAACTGCATCAGAGGAACTCCAGACATCTTCTGGATCTCCTTCCAAGGTCTTGGTTGTCCGTGGCCACAGCATTGACATTTGGGCTAAGAAACACTATATGCCAAACAATAATTTGTGCCACACTCTGTATTTGATAGTTATTCACCACTTGGATCCTTGGCCAACTTGAGAGGCACTGAAACTTCTGCCGTGGCTTCTACAATTCAGTCAGTTATTTGCAGTTTACCCCTAGTTATTCGTGGGTTAATAGAGGGCCCCTAATTACTACTCTACATAGTAAGGAAGACGCTCTTTTGTGTTCATTTGAAAAGGGTAGTTATGTTGTGGGATTTCTCCTTTTTGAAGGCTCTAATGTCTTCCTTAGCTTTCTCTTTAAAATTGAATCAATTTCTCCTTAAATTTCTGATATTTCTGGCTAAGCATTTACTCCACGATTGCATATCTCTTTGCTTTTCTCTTCTTCGTCACATTCACATATCTGTCCCGTATCTAATTCTCAGTGTTATATTTACATAATTAATAGGTTAATAGTATTCGATTCTAGGTTCCTTTAAAATTATTAGGATTGTAATCAATTATGGAATGTTATTTCTTTGCTATGAAACATTATTTTGTGAATTATTCTTGCAAAGGACTGAAAATATTTCCTTCTTTATTCTTTTATAACAAAGCATATACTACCTTATCTGAATCAAGATCATATTAATGCAGTAAAGACATCTCTGTGAACAAACATCATATTTCTGTAAGTGAATTAATCACTAAGAAAGATTAAACCAAAAATGTATTAACATGTAGGTCACTTTTATTATGGCAAAATTTATGCAAAGATCATATAATCGAGCTGCAATGCTTCAACTGAAAGTTAATTAGCTGTTATTAATATGTAATGATATTAATCAAGAACATTAGCTTTTCATGATTTTCTGCACCACTAAAAAGTAAAGCATCATTATACTTAAGATTCAGACAATTAGAAATAGTCCTGGCAGGGTGCAGTGGCTCACACCCATAATCCCAGCACTTTTGGAGGCCAAGGCAGGCGGACCACTTGAGGTCAGGAGTGAGAGACCAGCCTGGTCAACTTGGTGAAACCTAGTCTCTACTAAAAATACAAAAATTAGGCAGGCCTGATGGCACACGCCTGTAATCCCAGATACTCAGGAGGCTGAGACAGGAGAATTGCTTGAACCCGGGAGGCGGAGGTTGCAGTGAGCCGAGATGGTGCCACTGCACTCCAGCCTGGGCGAAAGAGTGAGACTCTGTCACAAAAGGAAAAAAAAAAATCCTAGTCATGTCATTGTTTCAGCACATGAAGTAAAGAAATGCAACTTCCCAGTGGTGTTCCTCCCTTTTGTCAGAAACATTAAGAAGATTCAACTACGAAGTAACACACCCATTAAAGTACTGCGTCTTTTTCAAATGTATAATAGAAAAATAGTGTAGGTAGCACGAAATCATCAATACTTAAAAGCCCAGAGGCACTACCTACAAAACGAAAAAGAAGTAAACATCTGTACATAAACATCTTTGCCTCACTCCTCAGCAAAGATAATGAATAAACCGTTAAGAATATAACAGGCCTGTTGAACCCAGCCTAAGGCATCTTTTCCATGAAAAATACAAATACTCCTTGATAGAAAGTTACTTCTGAATACAGTTCTGGGTTGTAGCTATAAGCTTTCCAGTAAGCTGATGATATAATTTAGTTTATATATACATTTGTTACATAAGGAGCGTGACTTTAACAGCAGAAAATGATGACAGATAGATAGCCTGGCATCACTAATTACCTATATGCAGTGCATTTCAATTAAATCCTTCAAACAGTTAACTTTTTCTTAAGAATCAATCCCATTTACCATGTGGAGTAAAAACTCATCTTGACTTCTGCCATAGTTTTAAAGTAGCTTCAATTTGCCATTACAAGTTTCAATAGCAAAAGCAAGAAGAGGAATTTTACTAGGTATAAATGTCTCCTTGAAGTCAATTATTCATAATTCTTATCAGAGTTTGGTCCTGTATAGAGTTGCAATGCTTGCATAAAACAGGGATCTAGATGTAGCAATGTGTTGAGTGGTTTTCTGCTGAAACTCAACTCAGGTCTATATATAACTATTTATTCTTGAAAAGTACGCCAAAGAAAACCTATTATAAATGTCTCTATATCATCCTAGCTATTGATATGGGTTACTGAGCCAAAGAGGATCACTATAGAACTAAAATTATTGATTGAATTTAATGCTCTGTTTTAGGATTAAAAGCAGGAATTTAGCTACTTCTATAATCTTGGGTACACTTGGATTTAATATCTAGTGAATAGTTTACCCACACTTAGGGGTGTTGTGTCCCAGGTGATGTTGGCAGAATTATGTATGGACAACACCTTTAGGGTGTTATCTCTTACTGATTCTGACTGATTATTTCCTGTTACAGAAAACAATGTGTGAATGTTTCCATGTAGCCACACATATATGAGAAACGGTTCAAACCAGTCACTTATCTAATACATGGGGTTTCTCTTAAGTGCAAAACATTATGGTTGAATGAAACAAGGTCAAGCTATCTTCAGAAACACAACTAAATAAGCTAGCAGTTTTATTACACATTAATACTTGCTGAGATACGTGTTAATTCTAGCCCATAGGATTATAGTCAGAAAAAGAGACCAGGATAGTTCCAAAGAATAAGTAAAATGTGAACTTAAACTTTAAAGTGAGAATGGGTTAGCCAGGCAAAGGAGGAGGAGGAAGAGGAGGAAAAAGTTCTCCAATAAAAAAGTAACATTTGCTAAATCAAGGATAACCAAAAGACAATGGCACATACAGAGGATGCTGCAATACTTATTAGGGTCGAGAAAAAGGAGGAAGTGGTGAGACAGAGGCTGGAAAATTAGTCAGAGGCTGCATGAGGGTTAGTAACTTCTCTCTATGCAATGTGGTGCTGCAACCCTGCTTCTATTACAGTCTCTGTCAGCACATCACAGGACCCTTACTCCGGAGCTTCTTCATAGCCTAACAATCTTCAGTGCACACCCCAGGCAGTCTGAGTCAATTCATTTAAAAAAGCTATGAAGGCCAACTCCCATGCACCATGCAAAGTAATGGGGAAGTAACCTAAAGACAATCGCGGAACAGCAAAAAGTTAAAATCAGATGGTTAGCAGGATGAGCATCCTGTTTTAGGAAGATCACTGGGATAACGTGTGAACAAGGTATTACAAGGGTGTTACGGGCTGAATGCCTTCTTCCGCCTACACCCCAGAATGCATACGTGGATGCTCACACTCTCAGGACTAGAATGTGACTGTATTTGCAGATAAGGTATTAAAAGAGGTAAGTAAGGTTAAATGAGGTCATAGGGGTGAGCCCTAATTCAACCTGACTGGTGCCTTATAGTGAAAATAGGACACCCAAAGAGGCACCAGGGGTACACTGACAAAGAAAAAATCATATGATGGGACGGCAGGAGGGCAGCCGTCTCCAAGTCAAGGAGAGAGTCCTGTAGGAAACCAACCCTGCCCAGCACCTTGATCTTGGACTTCCAGCCTTTAGAACTCTGAGGAAAATATTTCTGTTGTTTAAGCTACTCAGTCTTTGTTTCTTTGTTATGGCAACCCTAGCAAACTTTAAAAATATGGGATAAAGCCTTCATGAATGGACCAGTTTAGAGGGTGTCCTAGTGATATAGGAGTTAAAAAGAAATCACTTAGGCA
This sequence comes from Homo sapiens, assembly GCF_000001405.40. Lineage (NCBI taxonomy): Eukaryota > Metazoa > Chordata > Mammalia > Primates > Hominidae > Homo > Homo sapiens. Next base: position 15,000,405 of record NC_000008.11, read on the forward strand.
GATAGTAAGGGTTATGCGAGTCCTACATAAGGCCTTCCTCTTTAATGAAAATTATTGTCTAACAAGTTATTTTCTAACAAAGAGCAGCCTGTAAAGTTGAGCTGCAGACATAGACAAGCAAGCTAGGAGCTTGCATGGGTGAGTGCCCCAGGAACCAGGGACTAGACATGTTCAAGATGGCGGCTCCATCTTCGCTTCTCTTTGCCAGCCACGTGTACAGCAAAGAACAGAGGAGATGGCACCGCTCAACTGGAAAGCCCATTTGCATAATAAGATTAAGTTGGGGCAACCAGCCTTCCCCACACTATGTAAACAATATACCCGATGGAAACAATCTGTGAGCCCTGTGTAAATCAGACACCGCCTTCTCCAGCCTGCCTATAAAATCTGCTGCAGTCCGCCATCTACCCGCTTTTTGGATGTCTGTCTGTCTGTCTTGCAAGGAGCTGCTCTCCTCACTCCTTTCTTCTGCCTATTAAACTTTCCACCCCTTAACCCACCCACATGTGTCTGTGTCCTTAATTCTTTCTTTGTGCAAGACAACAAATCCCAGAGTGTATACTCAAGACAACATAGCCACTTCACCAGTATCAAAGGTGAGAGGAAAATGGAAACCAAAACTGAAGCTCTGGCAAAAGGGACAACAACGGCTGAGTGACACTGCTGGGGCAGCTCAGTGACAGAAGAACAACTGGCCTCTTGGAATTCAATGCCATGCCCAAAGATTGGGAGGATGAAATTGTTCTCTGAGTATCAGGATGGAATCAAGTCAGGAATAACTCAATGCAATTTTGACGAGAGAGAGAGAGACTGCTAACGTGAGGATGAACTGTATCGTCACATTTCTGAGATAAGACTTCAGGGAGTTTCAAACACCAAACTTCAGCCCTTAGACTCATCTTTCTGCGGCTGTTGGATGCATCAAGAGCTGCCTTTGGGAGTTTCTGCTTTGCAGGAAAGTCTTGCAAGTTTACTGGGATATTTGTCACAAGGTATCTGAATCAGTCGTGTGCATTCTAGGGTGAATTAAAGAGTGGAGGGTAGGCCGGGCATGGTGGCTCACGCCCGCAATCCCAGCACTTTGGGAGGCCAAGGCGGGCGGATCACGAGGTCAGGAGATCGAGACCATCCTGGCTAACACAGTGAAACCCCATCTCTACTAAAAATGCAAAAAATAAGCCGGACATGTTGGTGGGCACCTGTAATTCCAGCTACTCGGGAGGCTGAGGGAGGAGAATGGCGTGAACCCAGGAGGCGGAGCTTGGAGTGAGCCGAGATTGCACCACTGCACTCCAGCCTGGGCAAAAGAGCAAGACTCCGTCTCAAAAAAAAAAAAAAAAAAAAAAAGAGAAAAAAGGAGTTGAGTGTAATAATGATTAATATTTATTAAGCACTTTCATGAAATGCATGCCATTATTATCTTCATTTTGTATATGTAGAAATTAAGACCCAGAGAAGTGAAAAGCTTGTTCCCAGCTGCATGGTTAGTAAGTGGTCAAGCTACTGCCATGCTAGGCAGTTTGATTCCTGATGATACCAGCTTTTGAGGGTTGAATAAAGAGCGAAGAAGATTTGAGAATTCTGCGTGCTTGAGGAGGAAATAGCACACATAAAAGAACATAAAACATAAGTGTTATCCTTCTCAAAAATTGTTGCATAGAGTTGCCGTGAAAATGGCAGTCAAATGTGCTTTAAAATGAGAAGTAAGACACATAGAGATGTAAGCCACAGAACAGCAGCATAACCATAAATATTATTGACAATGCTTCAGGAATGACTTAAGAATATAGTCAGCTCTAAAAAAAAAAAGCCATCAATAATAAGTCAATACAAAAACCTAGTGCAGTGATATTTGCCTTTAAGAAAACTGAAAGATAATTAATTTAATTCCTAAAATTAATACTTTAAAAAGATAGTAAGGAAATGTATAGAATACAGATTGCACGGTTGGTGCCTTCTGAGAAGAGAAGACATAGTAAGAATTTAATCATATAGTACGTTTTATTTTAAGGTTTCTGAGGCTTCTTAATCCTATATAAAGGAGAAGAGCTGTCAGACACATTTCTGGGAATGTGTGTGGCTGTGTCATTACCCTAGAAATAGGAACCCAGCAGCCTCATGGATAAAACTGACAAGTCGCTGGTAGGTAGCACGAAACACAATAAAAATTGAAGTGAGAAATAAGACTGACTCCAGAAGCAAAGGAAAAACCTCATAAGGGTGTGAGTGCTCAGCTCATCACCTTCTCAAGCTTTTTGGGGGGAAATCTTTAGTTTCCATTTTGTCCATCTTAAAATAGAACCACCGTCACAATAAAAAGTTCTTCTCTCCTGCATCTGCAAATATTCTTTTGTAACTCAGAATAATTGCTATGCAAAATCAGATGTATGCCAGCTGATATGATTTGGCTGTGTCCCCATCCAAATCTCATCTTGAATTACAGATCCCATAAATCCCACATGCCATAGGAGGGACCCTGGGGGAGGTAATGGAATCATGGGGTTGGGTCTTTCTTGTGATGTTTCCATTATAGTGAATACATCTCACAAGATCTGATGGTTTTATAAAGGGGAGTTCCCCTGCACGTGCTCTCTTGCCTGTCACCATGTACAACGTAACTTTGCTCCTCCTTCACTTTTCGCCGTGATTGTGAGGCCTCCCCAGCCTCACAATCATGGCAAAATTTAATATTAAAAGAGGTATATTGTCATGGTGAAATTTAATATTAAAAGAGGTATATTGTTGTCTTGGGAGAAAGATTTCTGCCAAGAGATAATTTAGCCAGAAATAAAATTTACTGAAGGAAAATGGAGAGCAGAGAGTTTATATAGGGAGAAACAGTATGCTCTGAAAGACGAAGCAGAGAGGGTTGCTGAAATAGAATGAGAACTGAGTGGAACTGTGAGTCAATTAAACCTCTTTTTATGTATAAATTACTCAGTCTCAAGTATATCTTTATTAGCAGCATTAGAATGGACTAATACAGTAATCCTTTCACCTCCGGAATTGGCAACCCTTCCCAGAAATGACTGATAGTTACGAAATTATACAGGTATGCTATAAGGTGATTGATAAAAAATTGATGCTATAATAAATGATTTGGTTACAACACTGCAAAATAAGTTAGTCAAACCATACAATTAAAAAGTAGAAAATGGAATGTGTTGACTTAAATAAATAGACCAAACTATTAATACACAAATAGCACGTCAAATAGAAATCTATGAAAACATAACATGTTTTTATATGACTCTTCAGCTTTTGGAAGACTTGGCTGTGTATATATAAAGATCCAACTGGAAATAAATCAGGATTTATGACAAAAACTCCAACTTCCAGAGTGGTTCCAGAGAACTAATTTTTTGGCAAGAATGTAACCCCTTCATGCCCAGGCCCAGTGAGTAATTATTTATAATCCCTATCTCGTAAGTGTTGCTGATGAAAACAATTATGAAAGTAATTTCTAATTTAGAAACCCTACCGGGGTCAAGTCCTTTACAACAACGCAGTTAATATGAAATACATCTCATGCTCCCACAACTACCCTTCAATGTGTTAGAGTAGGAAAACAGGTCAACATGAGCAGGAGGGGGGAAGCCCCTGAGAAAAGTGAGGTCTGGAAAATCTAACGCCCCAGAGATCACCCAAAATGTGCATGCTACATGTGAACAGAGAGGAGGAGAAATACCTGTGCAGAAAGAAAGGCTCCGTAAGACCCCCAGTAATCGCTCACTCTGCAGTTAACGTGCCAGAATGGAGCTAGATACATGCTGTTAAGGACGGCAAGAGGAGAAAGGAGAAAAGTCCTAAGAGATACGCAGGTGCACCAAGTATAGATTTGACTGCTACACAACCTTCCTGAGGTGGCGATAATGAGCAAGGCAGTCATTAGGTAGAATGTGCATGCAACACCAGGCCCACGCATGTGCACCAACTAATAGTAAGGGATGATCCCGCAAGCCTAGGGTGGATACTAGGTGGGGAAAAGGCAGGGACTCAAGGCAGAAGTGGGAAAATTAGACCAAAAAAGGCAGACACTTAAGATAGAGGTGGGAAAACTAGACCAAAAAAGGTGGAGACTTAAGACAGAGGTGGGAATTTCAAGAAAAAATCTGACATCATAAAAACCCAATGCAGAACTCCTGGGTTGCAGTGTCTCATTCTGTTTCAGCAGCCTGCTCTGCTTCATCTTTCAGAGTGTACCGTTTCTCGCTATATAAACTCTCTGCTCTCCCATTTTCCTTCAGTAAATTTTATTTCTGGCTAAATTATCTCTTGGCAGAAATCTTTCTCCCAAGACAACAAAAGACTGAGGATTCCCACCTTCCCGATAACAAAAGTATGTATTATAAGGAAGGAATAAGAGGTGGAAAACTAGTAAATTGTAAAGAGAGACGCAAAAGTTTTTCTGACTCAACACTAGGTGACAATGAGGGTTCCCAAGTGTTTATCGCAATGAACTGACGGGTTCTTTGTGTGCTGTTCAAATACAGATTCTCACCACTGCCACACCTCCACCCCCAATTCTGAATCAGCATATCTGAGGTGGTATCTATGCATGTATTTTTCTAAATATTCTTCCAAATTGATACTGATGTATGCAGTGGTCAGGTTGAAAACTGATGTTCTATACTCTGCTCTTCTTTCTAGATCACTTCACACGGTGCGCTAGATGGCAGAGGCTTCCTAAGGGAAAGGAAGCCTCATGCCGGCTAGTAAGTTACTCATGGGGAGATCCTTCACATTACTTTTCATAAAACGTAGTACAGTCTCTGAATGTGGAGAGGCATCAAAAGTTCAAAAGGCATGGTACCAAAAGGCACCATTTAGCACCATCTCAAAATGATGGTAGCAGGTTTCAAACCCACATCGTCTGTTTCCGGAGCCCCCTCCCCACGCCCCCTCCCCCGTTTTTTTCTTTTTCTTTTTTTTTTTTTTTTTTTTGACATGGAGTTTCATTCTTGTTGCCCAGGCTGGAGTGCAGTGGCGTGATCTCGGCTCATCACAACCTCTGCCTCCTGGGTTCGAGCGATTCTCCTGCCTCAGCCTCCCGAGTAGCTGCCATTACAGGCATGCGCCACCACTCCCAGCTAATTTTGTATTTTCAGTAGAGATGGTGTTTCTCCATGTTCGTTAGGCTGGTCTCGAACTCCTGACCTCAGGTTGTTCCGCCCACCTTGGCCTCCCAAAGTGCTGGGATGACAGGCATGAGCCACTGCACCCGGCAATCCCCCATTTTTTTTCTTTTACCAGAGTCTCTGTAAATAATACAGCCCTAGAACGTGGCTTCATTTTATCCATATTAATTTAAAGTCTTCATAAGAAGCAAATTGAACCTTAGCTGATATTTAACCTTATTATCAAAAGACTTAACTAGTCTTTATTATGCTGACACCAGTCTCCTAAAATAAAATAGTTCTGACCTTATAAGGTTTGACTGTTTCATTGTAATATGACATTTCAGATTCTTAGGAATAATTGCTGTGCTATTTTATTTTAATTGCCATGCACAACATAAAACGGAATGAGAAATTCTTCTCCCACCAAACTTGAACTAACAGATACTTTTTTGATAATGAATCATGGAATTTTAAGTGTTTGGTTCTGTTTTATTTATTTTGTCATTGACGGTAATCACATTGTTTATATTAGCACGACTAGGCTGACTCCACCTGTGATATCACCATATATATTATTGTATTTTATATTTATGCATTGTGGGAAAGAGAGAGGAATAAATACAAAACATATTTTAATGTCTGTTTAGAAATTACACAACGTGGAAGAATACCCTAAAAATAGCACTAGACATACTGATGATGAGTACACTTCAGTCTCCAGAACGGAATAGCAATGGCCATGATTTTCTATAAAAGCTTCCAGTTATTCATTTGCAGTAATTCAGAACTGTGTCCCCATTTGAGTGGCACTCAAAAATCCCTTGGTACTGAAGCAAAACAAGATATTGTGAAAATTCTGCTATCCAATAGCTGGATTTAGAAAAGGATTTAAATAATAATTGGACATTCAACACTGAAGAACACTAAGGGAAGAACCTTACGAAGCCTAATTTTGTTTAGACAATTTTGAATTTACTGATGTTAAGGGAAAGCCTGATCATTAGCCATTGTTTACCCCACGAAGAAAATATAGTTCATAATTAACCAGTCTCTGCTGCTCAAAAGTCCCCCAAAATGTTAAGAGTTAATAAATTTACATTAAAAATATAAGAAATCACAGGACTCATGTTGGAACTGGTACTACTGGTAATCCACCAATGGTGGGATCTGTCAAAAGATTAATTAGACTCTATAAAAAAATCTTGACGAGATTACATTTTTGGCCCATTGATATATTCATAGATGAGTTGTAAAAGCCTGTCTCCCATGTTTGAACCTGCATTCGACAAGATTATTAATACTGGAAACCATACTATCAGGGGATTTTAAATGTGCCTCTTTATACATTTTTGTAACCCAGAGAAAGCTAGCAAAAATGTTGACTTTTGTATATTGAAATATCAAGGAGAACAGTGCTGTGCCATGCATTTGAAGAAAGAAATTATTATTTTTCAAAAAAGGAAATAACTGTTGAAAATAACAAAAGGAAAGGGTAGTGTGTTAAGTTAGTACTTAGACTAGTATATTTAACTGTTGCAACTTTAGCACAAAAATTGAAGGACTGAGTGAAAACATTCCAGCCTATGACAGACAAGTAATTAGCTGCTCCAAAGGAAGAGATATATCCACAAAACATAAAAGCTCCATTATATAGTTAATCCCAATATTAAAATGCTTTTAATGTATTTGTAACCTCCAATACAAAAGTATATTTAGATATTAATTTTCACCACCTTACTATGACAGATTTTGATACTATGTTACAAAAAGATTGCACAAAATACCGTCTTATAAAAAATTTAAATGTAACTTTTGAAAAATTCTGAGTCTCAATCAAAAATATCTTGCAATTTGTTAAAAACTCTTGAATTCAGCATTGTAGTTCTCTAAAACTCTGATTCGAACTTTCTACAAATAGTGGTAAAATGTGAGAGGCAACAGAGGGTAATATTGAAGCCACGGTCTATGAGCCACAAACTGGGTGCATGTTCTGGCTTTGCCATTGACTGACAGCGTAACTCAAGGCATATCTGTGTTTCTCAATCGTCTCATCCGTAAAATGGAGATTCATGTTCCTGATATATTTTAAGTTCTTGAAATTAGCTGTAATTCTATAATTACCTATAATTTCATTAAATGGAAAAAGAACGCATTTAAATAAAAGGGAATTCTTAGCATGCATGTGTCATAATATTAAAATAAGTTGAAATCATCAGGCTTAAGTATCACATTAAAATACTAATTGAAATATAATTACTGTGTAAAATAGATAGCAGCATTTATTATTGTTATTACCTTGAGGAGATAAAATCATTTCAAACTTACATATGAGAACTATGTCAGATATAATCATAACGTGTTATAAATGAAATTTTTAAAATTAGTTCAAATATGTTTTTATTGTAGTTCACATTTCTTTTTTAATCTATTCAGCATTTCCATACAAAATATTAATTTTATACTCTCAAGTTACAGTAAGTCAATTCTAACTTGATAAATTGTTGTCTTTTTCTCTGTATTTTCTGATTTTCTATAAAAATATCAAAAAAACTACTGTAAAAGATCTTTAGTCTAAGTCTTCTTATCAAAATAATCTTCAAGAAGGATATTATCCCATTTTCTCTCTCTTTACATATCTCTGCACCTACTTGAAGCACTCATTCCTGGAGGCATGTCCTCTTGGATTTGCTATTAACCTTATTTTATCTACTCTGGAAATCCCTCATTAATTCGTAGGGCCTTCCTATTTCTTTTGCCAAATGAGTCCATTAAGTTTCTGTCATGGTTTAACAATGGTTGTGATATTTTCATTGTTTTAGTTGTTTCATTTTTATTTTTTATTGAAGGAGCCTTAGAAATGTTAATAGAAGGACAGTAGATATAACCACAATTAGGAAAAACAATTCAAAGACCTTCAAATTTTACTTTATTCACCCAATACCTTCAACTGTGGAATGAAAAAATAAAAATAAAAAACATTAACTGGGCCTGTATAAAGGGAGGGAAGGAAGGAAGGAAGGGAGGGAGTGAGGGAGGGAGGGAGGGAGGGGGAGGGGGAGGGGAGGGAGGAAGGACAGACGGACAGACTGATGGACGGATGGGAGGGAAGGAAGGAGGGAAGGAAGGAGGGAAGGAGATGGGAGGGGAGGAGATGGGAAGAGAGGGGAGGGGAGAGGAGAAAAGGGGAGGAGGGAGGGGAGGAGGGGGGAGGAGGGAGGGGAAGAGGGGGGAGGAGGGAGGGACGGAGGGAGGGGAGGAGGGAGGGACGGAGGGAGGGGAGGAGGGAGGGACGGAGGGAGGAAGGGAGAGAGGGGAGGGATTAAAACTTGAAACTGACAATTTTAAGTCCCTGACAATCACATTTTTTTATTTTTAAGGAAAAAACTGTCCTCATAGTGAGTTGGTTAATAACATACACAAACACACATGCACACACAAGTGCACACAATACTAGGTTATAAAACATTATCTCCTGTTTTCACGTATCCTGGCCCAAGCTATACAATTGTCCCTCCTGTAAATGAAATTAGTAAAAATCGTCATTTATCTGAATCACAGTATATTAATTTGTTCTCACACTGCCATAAAGAAATACCTAAGACTGGGTAATTTATAAAGAAAAGAGGTTTACTTAGCTCATGCTTACACAGACTGTACAGGAAGCATGGCTGGGGAGCCTCAGGAAATTTAATTATGGCAGAAAGCAAAGGGGAAGTAAGCATGATTTACATGGCTTGAGCTGAAGAGAGAAAGGTGGAGGTGCAACACACTTTCAAACAACCAGATCTCGTGAGAACTCACTCACTATCACAAGAACAGCAATGGAAAAATCTGCCCCCATGACCCAATCATCTCCCGCCAGGCCCCACCTCCAACGTTGGGTATTACAATTCTACATGAGATTTGGGTGGGGACAGAAATCCAAACCGTATCACATAGTTTACAAGTTTATCTCAATAAGAAGGTTTAGACAGAGCCAGTTCAGCTTTCTCATTATAGAATGAGGAAAATGGCATCCACTTAGATTGAAGGTGATGCAATGTCATATAACAAGTGAGTGAAAATCATGGAAAAAAACTCCAGTTAACAATCATTTTTAGCAGGTGACTGTCAATGATATCGAGAATAAGTCCTAAGAAAGTTCTGGTTCTCGGAAGATAACTCTCAGGCTCCTGAAAGTTTATTCCTTGATCTGTGTCCCTCACACTCTTCATATCTATATGAGACCTATGCTTGTTTAGCAAACGCAAAATTTGAATGACCTGGTATTTCTCATATGGATAAGCCTCTGTCCATTTTTTTAAATTCTTAAAATAATTTTAATAATGTGTCATACAATAATTTCCTCTGTAGCAAATTTATATAACTCTGATCAAAACCATGCACAACTTTTGAAGTCTTCTGCTATCTTTCTGTAACTCAAGCTTAAATATAATAAAATGTAATAATATAGCACAAAGAGTCCGCTGCTTTAAGTTTTTGGAGAAAATATGTGTTAGTGTATATTTTTTTTCTGCTACCTTTAATACAAAAAGAAGACATGTGATGTTATTTGAGAAATAGTCATCTCCTAGCAACAGGAATAATGTTAGCCTGTTGTTCATAATGGTGAGAAAAAACTTAGCCTTGAAATTCAATGTCTACATGAGAGAACACAAACTAAACATTTGTTTTACATATAAAAATAGAAGAATGCTTTCAATGCAAATAATTTCTTAATTTAAATAATTCTTAATTTATGACTTTTATGTTTTATGTATTGATGAAGCAGAAAATAACATTATTAGTTTCTGCAATTTTACAAAAGATATAATTCTACCTCATCTATCATTTATAGAAATCTCAACAGAAAACACTTCAAGACTTTCAGAGTACATTATGTTACTATGTTTTCATTTTATCTATACCCTAGCTTTTTAAGAAGCCAGCAGCATTTATTTATTTACTTTTATGTTGGTGGTCATTTCTGAGAAGTGATTTAAATTAAAGTTCAAACTTCTGATTAAGACAAAATCCACTTACAAAATTATCAAAAAGCATGTGTCCCTAATCATGCGCTTAGACAATGGCCACAACCACATGAGGGTTGACTGGAATGAAAGTTCTTTTAACAGCCTGATGATGGTTCGTGTACTGTCAGTACAGGAAGCCAGATGAAGAAAGTCAGAACTAATGTGATATAGAGGCTTGGTATCATTCTGGCATTTTCTCACATTCTAGGTATGGTTAGAAAAGCGTATCAGAAGAACGCCAGATACCTTCTGGATCTCCTCTCAAGGTCCTTGTCACCCATGGTGACAATGGGACACTTGGGCTAAGAAACACGACGTGCCAAACAATAATTTGCACAGATGCTGCTCCCTATACATTGTAATCCTTCAAACTTTAGATCCCTGGCTAACTTGAGAGGCAATGAAACTTCTGCCCTGGCTTCAAAAATTGGACAGTGCTTCATCTATTGTGCAGGTATGTTATCTATTAATGAAGCTGAAAATAATTAAACGAAGATTATCAGTTTTTGCAATTTTTTCTTTAAATTTCCAAAATGGACAAAGCCAATCTTATCTTCTTGTTTGCTTTTAATTTTTACATCTTTTTATGTCTTCAAGGCAATAAGGGTTATTTAGAGAGAAATTTTGCTTAAATGTTTAGAAAATTATCCTACATAGTTAAAGTAGGTGAAATTTCATTACACGCTTTTTTTAACTGGATATTTTGGTACTTCACTGTAGTTCCTACAGAATGTTCCAGGAGGTATGTGTCTGTTATTTATATTCTTTGTCTATTTGAACTTGAAAGGAAACAAAAACGGCCATTACAGAGTCCACAAGGAAAGCATCCTCACGGTTTTGTTTGTATGTTTGTTAAAGCAATTCAAGTACAGCTTTTTAAAATATTCAGCTGAAAAATCTAAATAAATCAGTAAATTAGAATTTTTCCAAAGATTTTATAAACATGTTAATAAAAATCAAGAAATAATTTAAATCTTTAAGTTTACCTCATTCATAAGAACCTATTGAAAACTGCAGATTATAAGATAGTTTTCACTGTCACAGCTGAAATTCCATACTAAATTATTAACTCCCAGACTAT